>NC_000020.11:8399668-8551183 GCF_000001405.40 Homo sapiens
CTAAGACAATTTTTGTTTGTTTCATATATTTTATGTAGGTAGAGAATGCCATTTTCTAGTTTTCAAAACTTTATTTTTTTTACTTTATTTTTTCAAATTCCTAGAAAATGACAAAATCATTACTAGTTAAACAATTAGCAATATCTTGTAGATTTACCCACAAAGTCCCGAAAATAAAAATAAGAAAAAAAACCTTTTGGTTATTCTGCCTTATAAACTTTCATTTTTAGAAATCCATGCCATCATATAAGTTGTTTGTTCTATAATTTCTGAGCTCATTTTATGTAAAAATAACTCCTGTGCATTATTCATGTTGACAGGCCCTTTAAATAGCCATAAAGCCTGTGGGAACAGATTAATGCTGCATCTGCCCTGTGCTTTTTAAGTCTATCATTTTTATGGAATGGAAATCTTGCATAATGTCAGAAGTTTTCTGACATTGTCAACTGCTTGTGGTGGCATAGGGAAGTACCTTAGCTGCACTATGTGGGTGACAATGTCATATTTCCTGATTGGATTTTTATCTGAGGAGGGTGAGAACTGTCAGTTTCACTTCCTCTTAGAAAGATATTTTAAGTTGAATAAGTTTTCCTTTAAGTGACTTGTCACAGGTGGCAACTGTCTGAGCCTGTGTATTCTATTCTTTGTGCCAGAATTTTCTTACCACTGATTACCAGGCACATAATCACTCTTGCCATTTATGACCTTTGGGAAATGAAAATTAAAATGTTATTAGTCCATGTGGGTAGCAGTGGAATTGGTCTGATGTAATGTTTTTAAATTGTTTTTATTTTTTGAAATAAATGATTTTTACATCTACTAAAAAGTAAATTACAACTATTAAAGGTTATCTTATTAAAAAGTATTTCCCCTTCTCCATTTCTTCTGTTCCCTTCCCCTGAGGCAAGGATTCATAGTACTGCAGTTTCTTGTTTTCGTTTCCCAGAAAACCTGTAAATGATGACATGCTATCAAATGCTATTTAAACTTAGCAATTTGTTGCAGAAATTATGCCGTGTCAGCACAAATACAAGTCCTCATTCTTTTTCTAGAGGTTGTAGAGTATTATTTCATTTTATAGATGTGCCATAATTTATGTACTTAGTCATTTGTTAATAGGCATTTTATTGTTTCCGGTTTTTTGCTGCCTCAAACAATGCTTTGATGTGTATATATATGTATATATAAAATATCATCTTTGGGCACAATACAGGTATATTCGAATTTCCTGTTGGTGAAATTGCTAAGTCCAAATATATGTGCATTTTTAATTATGAAATGCATTGCCAAATGGCTCAGCGAAGAGATTATATAAATTAATCAATTACACTTCCACCAACAACAATCAAGATTACCTGTTTCTTCATACTCTTGCCAACACCATGTTTGATTGAATTTTTTTGATCTTTGAAATGTTATAGATGAAAAATTGGGAGCTCTTTATTACTTAAATTTGAATTTCTTCTACTGTGAGTGGAGAGGAAACTTTTCATATTGTGTTGTTTGTATTTCTAACCATATCCTTTGCCCATTTTCCAATATATAGTTCTTCTCACTGTTTCGTAAGATATTTTGATATATTAAGAGCTATCATATACTGGAAATATGATCTCCAGCTTTTAATTTTAATTTGACCTTGTAGAATTATTGCCTTCCAGAATTATGTTTTGTAGTCAAATTTATTAGTCCCTTTTTAAAAACTGTACTTCCAAACAGAGCACCGCTTGGAATAACTATTCTAAAATAATAAAGATTATTTTGTGATTTCTTCCAGTGTTTTTATGATTTTAATTTTTATGGTTGTATCTTTGAGCTATCTGGACCTTATTTTATGACAGTGACAAAGGAATCTTTATTAGTCAGGATTAAAGTAGTCCATGATAACAAACAACTCCCAAATGTCAGTGGAATAACACATCAAAAATACATCTCTTGCTCAAACCATCTGCTGAAGGTCTGCAAAAACATTCCAAGATAGCTATCCTCAGTGATCTAGGGATGTTTCTGTCTTGAGCTCAACCATCTCAGCAAGAGGCCTTGCATTTGCTGTGGCAGGAGAAAACAGCTAGAGAATCAAAGAGGATTCCTCAATGCCTCAGCCTAGAAGTGACATGCATCCCTTCTGCTTATTGACCATGTCCAAGTCACATGGCCCAGCCCAATTCAAGGAGGCTGGGACATACAGATTCCAGTATGCCCAGGGGTGAAAGGAGAACCAGTGATTAGTGAGCTCATAATGTTTACCATAATATCTATTTTATGTTACTCTAGATGGCTGCCAGGTCATCTAACATTACTTATTGCATAACCTATTTTTTTCTCATTGATTTGGAATGCTATCTTGGTTATACACTGAAAGCTTCTGTATCTTTCCATTTTCCCCTGAGATCATTGACTTTTCTATATATTTTTAGACTAGTAATAAAATGTTTTAATTATTGTGGCTTTACAATATATATTACTTGGTATAGTCCTGCTTTATCAAGTTTTATTTACATTTATATTAATTTTCATTTGAATTTCAGAATCAATTTATATTGTTCTCCTAAAAACCATGTGTATTTTTTATTGGTATTTCTTTAAGTGATGAGATTAATGTTATAACACTTTATGTCTTTAGCATACTACTTTTATGCAAGCAGAAAATATGTCTTCATTTATATTCAGGTTGTCTTTTGTATTCCTTAGTAATGTTTTAAGGTCTTTATCATATAGATCTTACAGTTAAAGTTAAGCTTCCGCTGAGTGTTACATCACTTTGATGTTTTAAGTGGAGCTTTTATTTACATTTCTAACCACCTTTTATTAAATAAAAGGAAACTAATTTTTGACATAATATTATGTATCCATGTACTTCACCGAATCTTTTAAAAAATAGTTTCCAGGCCGGGCGTGGTGGCTCATGTCTGTAATCCCAGCACTTTGGGAGGCCGAGGCAGGCGGATCACAAGGTCGGGAGATGGAGACCAGCCTGGCTAACATGGTGAAATCCCGTCCCTACTAAAAATACAAAAAAAAAAAAAAAAATTAGCCAGGCGTGGTGGTGGGCGCCTGTAGTCCTAGCTACTCGGGAGGCTGAGGCAGGAGAATGGAGTGAACCTGGGAGGCGGAGCTTGCAGTCAGCCGAGATCGTGCCACTGCACTCCAGCCTGGGCAACAGAGCAAGACTCCATCTCAAAAAAATAAAAAAAAAATTTAAAAAAAGTTTTCATTTGATTTTTTTCATTTTAACTCATACTCTCTGTAACAATTACAGTGTCACCTCCTTATTTCTAAATTTTATATCTATTTTTGTCTTTGAATTTAAGTTTATGTATTTTGATGACTTGGTAAAATTCTCATCCCTTTGCAGTTGGGCAAAAATTAATCAGTGTTGTATATGATATCATTTTATTAGATTCTAAACTCTTTGTGAGTTAGAACTATTTAATTAAATAAAAATAGTTGACATCTCTTATAGGAAAATCACTGTGTGAAGTCCCAAATGATATAAAAAAAGAAATAAAACATAGTTCTTATGCTCATGATTCTTACCTTTGAAACCCTCCCTCCTCAGCCCCACAAAGCCAGGCACAGTGGCTCATGACTGTAATCCTAAGGCTTTGAGGGGCTGAGGATGGGAGGATTACTTGAGCCCAGGAGTTCAAGGCTTCCATGAGCTATGATCGCACCACAGCACTCCTGTCTGGGTCAATGAAGCAAGACTGTGTCTCAAAAACCAACCAAACAAAAAACAACAGGGAGTGTCCAAAGGCTGTAATACAAGGTCAAATGTAGTAAATGATGTAATTGGGAATCGTAAGAAGTGTTTGGAAATATTAGATTTTAATTTGCCCAGTGGTGCCGTAGGTTGGAATGGAGGGAATGCAGGAAGATGGGCAAGGCTTCACAGAGAAGGAAGCATTTAAGTGATATGTTGATGTTCAGAAACAAGATAGCATGTGAGCAGGGTGTAGTGACACGTACCTGTAGTCCCAGCTACTTGGAAGCCTGAAGCAGGAGGATCACTTGAGCCCAGGAAGTTGAGGCTTCAGTGAGCTCTGATAGTGCCACTGCAAGACAGATTGTGGATTGCAGAAATGGCCATTGCATTCCTCAGGGGAAAATCTATACTCATTTTTAAAGCTTAATTTTTTTCAGCATCTAGAATAGGTGCACCCATGAACATTCAGTATCTTCAGGAGACTAACCATATGGGAATGGTTTACTAGTAACTCATTTGTACTTGAGTATCCATTATATTGGAAACTAGGACCATTTCTTTCTCATTAATTGAGAGTCATGATTTGTCTATAATGTCCTTTATGATGCAGAATTTATCTGATACTTTGAGTTAAATCAGGCTTGCTTTTTGGCTCATAAGTATTTATGTATAGACAGAAATTGTGGCTTTTATCTATTTTTATTAAGTAAAATTGTGACTGATTTTATAGCAATTAAGATGAATTTTTCTTTGCAGACAAATTTTATTGAAGGAATATTGACAATCAACTTTCATTGAAAGCAATGGGTTTTGTGATTTCATGGAATAAATGCTCTGTTCTAAGAGTTAACTGACCTATGTTTTTGTTTCAGGGTTTTGGCTAAATAGCTGCACATCTGTAGCACAAAGCCATTTTTCCTCAGTTTCCTATTGTGTAGAAAAAACATTTGGGATCACAAAATTCCTAGGTTCCTTCCATTCTGAAAATTTTTACACTAATTCCAACTTTGCCTTGAATGTCTAATGATTTGCATTTCTCTATGTAAAGCACATCTCCTGGCACCGAACTGAAAATGAGATTAGAAAACACCTAGTAGAGAGGATAAAAGGTACAAGTCCTAAGCTTATTTTGCATTCCCCTTCTTCCTTTTTTCTCCCCTGAGAAGCAGGATGTCAAGCTCCTTGGAAAACTAATATTTCAAAGGAAATATCAATTTGCAACTGAAGTATGGGATTGAATGATTTCATTGTCTCAAAATGATATGGTGGTGAGGGTAACATTCTATAATTTAAATATTCAAAGTTTTGAAAATGTACAGATTCTTTTAGTAATTCTTCCCCAGAAATACTAGTATTTACTAGTAGTATTTTTTAAAAGCAAGTCTTCTTTGCAAGATATAATCAGTATTGAATCCATAAAACAGAATATTTTGGAAGTATGGCTTTAACACCATGGCATAATTATAGCTGATTATGACCAGAGTTTTGAATTCAAGTAACATTAACACACCACAATTATTGAAGTTGTATGTATCCAGATTAGCAAAATGAGCAATATTTTTCTCTCAACCCTTAATTCCTACATGTTAGTCCTATTTCCTCTGATATTTTCAGGAGTCCTCTTTGCTTTCAGTAGGTATTCAAATGATGACTCTTTCAGTTCTCCATATAGAAGACAGAAATTAGTCTTATTCTCAAGCTCTAACAAACCTTCCCAAAACCCAGTGACATAAAACAATAAACATTTGTTATTGCTAATGAGTTTGCAGGTCAGCTGAGTGGTTCTGGGTTCATGTATGTGTCTGTGGTCAGCTGTGGGTTGATGAAGTGGCTCTGCTGATTTGGGCTGGGGTCTCTCACATGTTTCGAGGTCATCTGGCTCTAGACTAGTCTAGAGTTGTCCCTACTCATCTCCGCGTGTTTTGTTCAGCTCTCCCTTAAAATCAGCACTCTTCTGGTTTCTCCACCCTGGGGATATCCTCACAGTGAAAGCAGAACAGTAAGAGACAGAGTGGAAACACACAAGGCCTCTTGAGGCCTAGACTTGGAACAGGCACTCCATCAATTACGCCACATGCTTTCGCCCAAAGCAAGTCTCAAGGTCAAGCCAGTTTTCCCCCGATTTAGCAGTAGGGAAATAGAAGGAGCTACAGTCATGTTGCAAAAGGATGTGGATACAGGGAAGGTGAAGAATTGTGGCCACTTTTGCAATCAATCTACCCCACTTTCCTTCTGAGAAGCTGGTTGTTTCCAGTGAAATCAAAGCCAGCTGAAACCTGGACAATCAAGTAGCCAAAAACCTTCCCTGTTAGACTTCAGCATATTGAATTTGGCTTGTACCAATTTACAGAGCCAGTTGTTAAACACAGCTATTAAACTACATAAACTTCAATCTAAATACATTATATTGAAAAAAGATGATCATGTTAATACTGTCACTTCCTACTTTTTATTATTATCCATGTTCTCAAAGTTATTTATAATCATTATATCCAAATGGTAGGAATGCTATATAATGATGCTACTGACATCTCTGCCCAAATCTGTGCTCAGTGACACCATGTTGATAGATTGAAATTGGCCATGAGAGTATTTACACAAGATAAATTGACAAACACTACTAATTAGGGCTTTTTTTCTTCCTTTTTTTTTTTGATAGCTGCTTGTTAACATTTACCAGCCCATCATTGCCTGTATGTGTGATGGAGGATTTGAAGGCCCAAGTCAAGTCATTCCTGCATTTTATAGCATGAGTTACAGATTTACTTTATTGACTTTTATGTGTTCTATGGCTTTGATGGAAGAAGGAAAATATGTGGATAGAGTAATTGAAGAAACGAAATTGCTTAAAGCTACATTTTAAAATCAGTAATGACCATAGTGATAAAAGCTGTTTCTCTCTTTCTTTAGTAAACTTTACTGGATGTAATGAAAACAAATTTATTCAACTTACTAGTGTCAGTGTACAAGAATAACCTTAAGGAAAAATGGAAGAACATGCAGGTAATGTTTTAAATTACAGCTTCAGTCATTAAAATATGGCATATGCATTCAGGCAAAAATTGTCTTGTGTTAAGTGTTTTCAACACATAATAATTTCAAGATGAAATTATTGTGAATTGAAAAGCAACAAAAGGAAAGTGAGGTTCACTATCTTCTATCTCCTTGCTAATGGAGGCCAGAACTTATTTAGTTTTGTGAGTCAGATGAGTTGAAATTTGCCTTCCAGTATTCCAAGGCAGCAAAAGGTCATTCCATCTACATAAGAGCCTGTCGAGCAGAGAGCCCTTTTCATAAAGAAAATTCATTGAAGAAGCACTAGAAAATGAATATAATGCAAAGAGTAAGGCTGTTCAAATTCTATTATTCAGTTTTACCAGTATTACAGTAAATTCCCAGAAAAAACAAGAATTATAGTGATTTTATGTGAGGGATCAACTTACCTGGGCTCTTTCTGGCTTTTTAAAATCCGTTTATTGGGGGTATTTTAATGAATTGTTAGAATGTGGTATTGGACAGTGGGAACTTATAATGAATATTTGAGATGTGGTGTTTCAGAGTAGGAAAAATGAGACTGCTAAGTAAGTAAAGAATCAGGATTCTATTTATAAGCCCCTGACAATCCAAAGAAGATTGTTTTAACTTTCAGTGTAACTTCTGAGGCTACACAGCCCATTGCCTCCTGATATTTTAACTGTTACACATAACCAAGGGAGGAAAGCTAGAATGAATCATGTGATACTAAAATGAGACATGCATAGCTTAATTTAACAAATGGATAAATTTGAAAATAAAATTTTTTTTAATGTGAGCAAATAAGAAATCTTTCATACAGAATAGTCCCAAGTAACTTATGTGGTTAATGCACCCTTGATAGGCTGGAAAAAAACTCCCCAGCCTTTAAATCACAGATAACGAGTATCTTCCAAAGAGTACAATATGGAAAAAGGGAAAAAGAGTAACTTTCTCAGTGGAGAAACCTGACAAACACTCTGTATTAGTCCATTTTCACATTGCTGATAAAGACACACCCAAAACTTGGAACAAAAAGAGGTTTAATTGGACTTACAGTTCTACATGGCTGGGGAGGCCTCAGAATTATGCAGGAGGCAAAAGGAACTTCTTACATGGTGGCGGCAAGAGAAAAATGAGGAAGAAGCAAAAGCGGAAACCCCTGATAAACTCGTCAGATCTCTTAAGACTTATTCGCTATCACGAGAATAGCATGGGAAAGACAGGCCCCCATGATTCAGTGATCTTCCCTTGGGTCCCTTCCACAATATGTGGGAATTCTGAGAGATACAAATCAGGTTGAGATTTGGGTGGGGACACAGCCAAACCAAATCACACTCCCTCAGCCGGTGATCAGGTCAACATTTTCAGTATTAAGTCATGTTGCTGGTTTGTAACCTTGGTGTGATGTAATAATGACATTATCTGCTGGTCTTCTTCCCCAGAACCGAAAATTCCAGTCTAATCATGAGAAAATCATCAGACAAATCCAGATTAAGGGATATTTTGCAAAATACCTGAGCAGGATTCCTTAAAACAGTCAAGGTTTTCAAAAACAAGGAAAGTCTGAGAAAACTCGTGGTATAGGGGAACGTAAGAAGGCATGATGAGTAAATGCAATGTGGTATCCTAAATGGGATCCTGGAACAAGGAAAGGACACTAGGTCAAAACTAAGGAAATATGAATAGAATATGGACATTAGTTTTTTAAAAATATCAATATTGGTTGATTGACTGTGACAAATATATCATACTAATGTAAGATATTAACAACAGCAGAAACAGTTTCCCCTGTTGTAGAAGGTATAGATAGGAGTATTCTGTCTATTCTCTTTGCAACTTTTCTGTAAATCTATTTATAGACATCTAAAATAGTTGCTGTAGTAGGGCATGGTGGTGTGAACCTATAGTCCCAGCTAATCATGAAGCTGAGGTGGGAAGATTACCGGGGGCCAGGAGTTCAAGGCTGCAGTACATGAGGATCACACCTGTGAATAGCCACTGCACCACTCCAGCAGCCTGGGCAAGACCCCTTCTTAAAAAAAGGAAAAAAGAAAGAAAAGGAAAGAAAGAAAGAAAAAGGAAAAATGAAATAGGTACTGTAAAACTGTTCTGAATTGGAAGTTTTTTTTAAAAAAAAAAATCAGATTATGGCGACATAAATATTAGACATCCCTTAGCAAATTCTCTGATATTTTAAATCAGATGCATGGGACATACTGTAAATTTGTAGATAGCTGAATGCAACACATATTTAATACAATGATTCTTAACTCTGGATAGCTTTACACCTTTAAGCATATTAGCATTTTTGTCTGAGTAGCTGAAATCACACTGTAAAAAAAGTCAACTGTGTTAGGGTCTATTTCTAGCTGTGCCACTGCCCAGCTGTGGCATCTGAAACAAATTACTTCATCTCACATTCGGCAGCCTTTCTGCCCACGCCACAAATATAGTGCTGTGTGTTCAGGACACTTAAGAAGTCATGTAACAGTAATAATTTTTTTTTATTGCTAATAGCTATGTAATCTTATCAAGGTCTATTTGAATAAAGGGCTCTACAATCCAAAATATAGTTGATTTACTATCAAATAAATTTAATTTTCAGTATTTTACATGGTATTCAACATTGTAATTTAAACATTTCGTTTAGAAACAAGTAGCATTTCTGTGGGTTAGAGACTGATTTGGAGAGACCACATCCACATTCACTTACCATGTGTTCCCAACTAAATTAGCTGAAGATGCAAAAACCCAGTGGACATAAAGTCAGGGCTAAGGGAGAGAAAGTGTGTATTATCTAGGCTTTACCTGGGTAAGGAAAGGGCTTTTCTGTGATGGCATGCAACTGCCTATGACATTCTTTCTACAAGTAGGGTCTTGATGGAATTAAAGACCATAACTCGAACTTGCTATGCTACAAGCCTTTTCTATGGGGGACTATATTCCCATTCCACATAAACAACATTAGCAATCAGGGGTCTGCAGATATTTTCTTGAATGAAATTTGACATCTCTGAGGACCGACAAGGATACTGCTCATATGGAATGTATATTATTTTTATTATTATTATTATTATTGTTATTATTAATTTTGAGATGGAGTTTCGCTCTTGTGGCTCAGGCTGAAGTGCAATGGCATGGTCTTGGCTCACTGCAACCTCTGCCTCCCAGGTTCAAGTAATTCTCCTTCCTCAGCCTCCCAACTAACTGGGATTACAGGCGCCCACCACCACGCCTGGCTAATTTTTGTATTTTTAGTAGAGATCGGGTTTCACCATGTTGGCCAGGCTGGTCCCAAACTCCTGACCTCAGGTGATCCACCCACCTCAGCCTCCCAAAGTGCTGAGATTACAGGCATGAGCCACTGCACCCAGCTGGATTGTATATTCTGTTAAGAGTGGGGATCAATAATAGGAGACAATAAACAAGCAAATAAATAATATTATTTAAGAAATTGATATGAACTATGAAGAAAACTAAAGCAGAGTCACAGGAAAGAAGATGCTGGGGGATGAGGTCCCCCCATTGAATCTGATTTAATACACTTTTATTTGGGTGGTGCAGATAATGAGTTGAGTCTGAGGAAAATGATCATAAATCCATTTTCCTGATAGCTAAAAAAAAATTAGAACTAATAAAAACTGTAATTTTTTATAAATAAATTCACACTGTGTATGCTTTTTTTCTCTCTGGGTTGGTTCACTCAACATTATATGCATATATTGTTGGGTGTTACTGTAGATTGTCCATTTTCTTTGCTGTGTAGAGTTTTATTGTATGAATATACCAAATGTATTTATCCATTATACAATTGACAGTCTTTTGTATAGTTCTCGGTTTGGTGCTATGACAAAGAGTGTTGCTTTCAACATCCTAACACATGAGTCTGACACAAACACCTATGGGTGGAATTGCTGAGTCCTAGAGTGTGCTTATATTCAATAGAGCAAAGTATTTTCTCAAAGTAGTTGCCCTAATCTACATTCCTATTAAGAGTACAAGAGAGATCTTGTTCTCCACATCCTCACCAAAAGTTGATTAGTGATCCTTTTATTCATTTATGTCTTTCTAGTGAGTGTTCCATGGTAACACCTAATAAACGATCCTTTTATTATTAAATTAAATTTATATAATTTATTTTTATTGAATTTGATGTGCGTATTATGCCCAGTTATAAGTCCTGATGCATGAACCACACTTGACACGTGAGCCTCTACTCATAGGCCCATGCAACCTGCTTTTTTTTATTTTTAAGTTAATTTGTAATTTTTAATTGTAATGGGTTGAATAGCAGTCCCCAAAAAGATATGTCCATGTCCTAATTCTCAGAACCTATGAATGACACCTTATTTGGAAAAAGGCTCCTTGCAGATATAATTAAGTATCTTGAGAGGAAAAGATCATCCTGAATTACCCAGGTGTGTCCTAAATCCAGTGACAAGTGTCCTTGTAAGAGACATACTAGGAAGATTTGACACAGACAGAGGAGGAGGAGGCAATGTGAAGATGGAGGCAGAGGTTAGAGCAATGCCAAGGAATGCCTGGAACCACCAGAGGCTGAAAGAGGCAGGGACCTGAATCTCCCGTAGCAGCGTGACACTGATGACACTTTAATTGTGGACTTTTGATCTCCAAAACTTTGAGAGTCAATGTCTGTTCTTTTAAACCACCAAGTATGTGGCAATTTGTTATGGCAGCCTCAGGAATCTAATACATTGAAAGAGACAATTTATCACATCATCTAAAACTGCACCAGTGTGCTAACCAGCAGCCAAATTTAAAATGTAGCTGGTCCACACTGGATGTACTGTAAGTGCAAAATACACAGTGAATTTTGAAGTCTTAGTATGAAAAAAGGGATGCAAAATATATCATGAATACCTTTGCATGTTATTAATAGGTTGAAATGATAATATATTGGAAATATTGAGTTAAATACATCTTAGTGTTAAAATTAATTTCACCCATGCCTCTTTACCTTTTTAAAAAATGTGACTACTGGAACATTTTAAAATATATGTATAACTCACATATTCTATTAGATAGTGCTACCTAAACAAGAGTGGGAACATTTAGAGGTCTGTCTATAAGAATTACAGCCTAACTGTTGTCAGTACATCATAAATTCATTCTTTTAGTCTTTGTTCACCCAATGAAAGAGTAGACTTTTATTGGGCTTCTGTTTTCAAGTTCTGTTGCACAGATTGGGGTATAAATATAGAGATCCTGCATTCCATTTGTGTAAACTATTGGGGTCTATACAGAGACCCCAATAGCAGAAGAGCATGTGGATCTGCTACCTGACAAACAGAGGCATTTTCCTGCATAACCCTTTCAAATAGGAGACAATTTCCTGGCCGGGCACGGTGGCTCACTCCTGAAGTCCCAGCGCTTTGGGAGGCCAAGGCCAGTGGATCACCTGTGGTCAGGAGTTTGAGACCAGCCTGACCAACATGATGAAACCCCATCTCTACTAAATACAAAAAATTAGCCAGGTGTGGTGGCGCATGCCTGTAATTCCAGCTTCTTGAGAGACTGAGGCAGGAGAATCGCTTGAGCCCAGGAGGCAGAGGTTGCAGTGAGCTGAGATTGCACCATTGCACTCCAACCTGGGCAACAACAGCAAAGACTCCGTCTCAGAAAAAAGAAAAAAAAAGAAGACAATTTCCTCAGTAAAGAAATTGACGCTTATAAATAATAAAATTATGGATCAGCTTACCCTAGTTATTGCATGTGGAGGAATACATTGTAAGGTATTATTAGTTATTGCTACAGTAAAGCTGCATAACAAAACCCATCAAGCACAATAGTTTACAACAACATGCATTTATTTTATTGTTCAGGTACATATATGCTGGTGAGTTATGCTGTGTGCTGGCTGAGTTTGGATCCAGATAGCCAGGATCCAGTTAGCCAAAACCAGTCACATGGTCTAACCCCAAATCAGTGGGCAGAGATGTACACAACCCCCTACTTGACCCCACTGTGGGGTTCCAGAGGGTGGGACTGAGGATTTGAGAACAATTATCACATCCACTACACAAGAAAACATCATTTTCCTCTTCTATCTGACTGTCATTTCAATAGCAGGTTCACATTCATTGATTATCTAAGATGTGATCAAATTATGCAGTAAGAGAAGCAGGAAGTCAGAGATGAGTAACTAGCTAGGCCCTGTCTTAGAGGATTTTATGGTCTAATAGAGGACACAGGTCCATTATTTGACCTCCTTGTGCTTCCTCATCCATAAAGCAGATAGCACTACTGCTTGCTTTACATGGTTATCCTGAAGATTCATATGAAGGGCAACTCATCAAGATTATAAGATTATAAAGATATAGCTGTTGTCTGTATCTGTCTATCTAGTTGTCCATCTAGTTATTTGGTTTGGCCTTGATTTTTAAAAACTAGCTGCAGCTATATTGATATGTGCTTTGGAAATAAAACAACATGGAGGAAACACAGCATGTTAACGATGCCTATATTTGGGTTTTGGCATAATGAAGAATTTGTTTTTCTTTTTATATGTTTCAGTATTTCCTAAAATTTCTTTCATGATCATCTGTGACCAAAAAAAAAAAAAAACCAATATACATTTTAAAAGATAATTTACCCAGCGAATTGGTTTAACTGGGGAATTCTAGCTCCAAAATTTGTTTTATTTGCTAAAGACTTTGACCAAATTGTGTAGATAATTATGCAAACATTAATGTTTACTTTGTTTTCATAGCTACCACCTTGGAATTTTCTAGAAAATGTTTTATTTTTAATATACATTTATGGATTTGATTTCTAATAATTTGCATTATTTTTATTTTAATATTACATATGTTTAAACTATAAACAAGGAAGTCAGACATGTTTTTCTTGCCTCAGCCTTACTGTTATTTAGAATTGTCAAGTATTAATGTTTCCCTTTCGTTGACAAAGATGGGGTGTGCTGCCACAGGAAACCCTTGTTATATGGAGGCTCTTCCAGCTTTATTTAAATTGTGAACATTTGTACTTAATAACACGAACAATGAGCAGTCTGGATTTTTCTTTTTCAAGTTGTCAGTGCAAGTAAAGGCATTTTAAAATCCGAATCTGCTTCCACCAGCAGTTTTGATAATTAAAGTACACAAAATGTATCAAACATTTGAGATAGGCCAAGTATTCCGTTGAATTTGTTACAGATCTTGAAGTGGACTCAATCACTACTTGCTACTTTTCAGAGAACCTTTCCAGGTATACTAGCTAGGTATGAATATCAGAAGGCTATTACCACTGTTTGACCACAAAGGTAAAGAACATCCAATAGACAACTAAATTCTAGATCTTTCTTTATTTGCGGTATGGGAAATTTTTTAACATATTCTGAATCTTTTATTTTTTGCAACTTTCACTGTCTCAGATTAGACTTTAAAACTCAAGAGCTAGAATAATTGGTCTAGCACCATCTCTGGTGTCTTCTATGGATGCGTTGCCTACAGTATATTCTGTCATCATCTGTGGTTTTCTAAACTGAATTGCATTTAATTTCAATCAAGCAATTCATGCTGTATTTGAACTTCAGGCATATCTTTATTTTCCAGAAAGCCTGTTTATCATATGGCCACTCCTGACTTCCTGAAACTCTAACAGATTAACTGAGAAGAAAACAAGTATTATATTTCTAAGGCATTTTCAGCTAGTGGAAAAGATAAATGACTATATGAGTCAATAAAAAAGTATAATTTTCATTGAAAGGTAGATTGGAAGAGCACTATCAAGACAAAAAAAAAAGAATCTGTTTTTAATGAAAATGAAGAGATCTGTTTTCTCAATCGTCATACTAAAAAATGAGTGGTGTCTGCACATATTTTTATTTGGGATAATAAAATTGAACAAGATTATTGCTAAGCCAGCATACTAAGGAAAGAGGACATATAAGCCATATCAAATTTAATGTAATTGCCCCACACTATCTTCTACAAGAAACAAAAACAAAAAACAAACAAACAAAAACTTGGAAATAAGATTTGTGAAGTGCACATTGTCTTGATGACCCATGGAATTTCAACCAGCTCTTTTAAAAGAAGTTTACCTATAAGATGCCTTAGACACACCCTCCCTTTCTGAATCCTGTATGAATGCGTAAGAGAAGAAAAAATGCCACAAACAGCATGGGATGTTGGAAAGAATTGGGGAATGTGAGAAATAGAAAGGAAAGATTAAAACAATCAAAAATCAAAGAAATGTAAAGTATTACTTGAGAACATTTCTCTGATGTTTAATCTAATATTCTATCCAAAGCTTTCTGCACTGCTAGAAATGTTCTGTATCTGTGTTGTCTGTATAGTAGCCATTAGCCACATGTAGCTGTGGAGCATTGGAAATGTGACTTTTGTAACTGAGGAAATGAATTTCTAGTTTTATTTCATTTTAAGTGTAAATAGCCACATGTGGCTAGTGGCTGCCTTATGGGAAAGCACATGTTCACAGCTCTACCTCTCAAAGTATGTTTGGGAGTTTATTAGAAATATAGCATCTTGGCTCCCACCCAGACCTACTGACTCAGAATATGCATTTTAACAAGATCTCCAGGCAAGTGGTTTGCTCCTGAAAGTTCCAGAGGCCCTGCCCTAGAGCAATGTTCACTTGCTAATTAACCACCCATTCAGAAACACTGAGAATTCTTTATTGTTATCATGGGTGAGTGAATATTAGCAGTGTGTTCATTTTATCCACAGAGGAGTCCTTGATGCAATAGGGTGAGTCATAATAGTGCTTGAACTGCTTACTTTAAATCTTTTCCCAAATGTGAACAAAACTTACCCTGCTGATTGATCTGTTGATTTTCCCATTCATGAAACAAACAGAGTCCTTACATGGCAGGTGGAAGGGCATTAAGGTTTACTCAGCATCTCTAGTTGCAGCTGGATGTGTACCTTATTTCTCTGTAGTAAAAGAAGTCTTGACACCTGAATTAAAAAATTATCATTAAAAAGTTTAAAGGAAGGAAACATTATAAGTGTTCGAACTAGAAAATGATGTTGACAATTTATTGCATTTGGCCCCTTTCCATAGGTCTTAATTTGGAATCCTGCAAAAGCTGACTCTGAGAAAAGCACTTGTATACAGGTGGATTATTTGAAAGTGATCCCAGGTACCATAGTGAGTGGAGTAGGGGGAGTGAAGCAGAGAAAGGAGAAAGGTCATTAAAGTGTACTTGGATGAGTGGGCCACTGATACGAACAACTGGGGTTCAACCCCTCTTGGGGCCATCTGAGAGGCTGGGCATGTAAGGGAGGAAGACATCAGCATGTGTGGGAACTGTGCACCTAAGCTGCAGGAGTCACCTTAGATGGTGGACATGGTGTAGGACACCAACAGGGTCTTGTACACCATAATAGGAATTGCTTATGTAATGGGATCCTACCCTTCATGTGGGGCAGAAAAATATCAATGTCTGCTGGGGAATGAAAACCAAGATCCAGGGCAACACCATGAATCTGGTAAAAGTCTGCTAGTGGTCAGTTTGCCTTAGGTAGGTTGTTGCTCTTGGCCACAGGGTGTAAAGGAGGCTTTGGACTTAGTGATCCCAGAGGTTATTCCCTGCTCTCATGCCAGTATTCTTCTGCAGCTTTCCTCATCAATGTTTATATATTTCTTTCTTTTTTCTGAAACTTGCTCTTTCACTCTGTCTCTCCCCTAGGGAACACTAAAAATAGCCTGTAGGTTAAGGAATCTCCAAAACACAGGTGTGATTTGTTTGAAATTCTGTTTGACTCATGTGTGTTGAGTTACTTCTAAATTCAAGGTATTGTGACTACTTGAATGATATTTTTTAGAAACAAAATAATGAGAAAACTTGGTCTGACAAGGGAGATTTTTCTGATCTTTGTATGCATTTATTTATGATTATCTGAAGCGTGATGTAAAATAACTTATGTATATACATAGCACAGTGAGTTCTGGATGGAGAGAAGACTAATTATTTATAGAAAAAGTCTTTTTAATGTAAAAATATTACATTGAATTAGATTTAGTTACATATGATCAAATTGTCATTTCTAAATAAAACAAAATTCTGAAGGCTGTCCTTGAAAATCAAAGAGATGTGTCACACTAGCTGCGGGGGGTGCAAAGGTATGCTCACTAACATTAAGTAATTTACTGTCCCTTTGGAAGGTAATATATATTCCCCTAAACAGGAAAAGTAAGTTTGCAAGGGAGCATGGTTTATGTACAGTCACAGGAGTAGGGCTTGTAAAAGATTCTGTAGATATTGAGGAGGAGGTATGTGTGAGACAGAGCATGGGATTTAACATGTATAGTAATGACCTGCTTGGAGATGGAAGGATTTGAGCCAAGTTTTGAAATGTGAGGGTTTTGTTTAGAGACTCTTTCAGGAAAATGAAGCAAACAGAGCTGAGCATCATCCTGGTAGCCTGACTGAAGAGTACTTGGCAAATTAGAGAAGATATAGTTGCAAATGGCAGGGAAGAATGTGAATGCTACGCATAGTGCTTTTGGGAAATAGTCCTTGATGGTGTCTCTTTTACAGTTGAAGAGACAGAATACACACACACACACACACACACACACACACACACACACACAGAGTCGCTTCAGCTGTAAACACATATATATGTAGTTTTAAATACATATATGTGTATACACACACACACACACACACACACACACATATATATATATATATATATTTTTTTTTTTTTTTTTTTTTTTTTTTTTTTGAGATGGAGTCTCACTCTGTCGCCCAGGCTGGAGTGCAGTGGCGCAATCTCGGCTCACCACAAGCTCCGCCTCCCAGGTTCACGCCATTCTTCTGCTTCAGCCTCCTGAGTAGCTGGGACTACAGGCGCCCACCACCATGCCCAGCTAATTTTTTGTATTTTTAGTGGAGACAGGGTTTCACCATGATACACTTATATATTTTTTGTCTCTGGTGTGTGTATATATTATGTATACACACACATATATAACATACGCACCCACATTTATAACACACACATATATATGTATATAACAAATCAAATTTGATCTTAGCACTAGGACTCTGTTGTACCAATAATTCAGGGTTTTTTTTTTTTAGTTCTAGGTAAAAACAGTGTCATTGATTTACTATCAGTGAATTCATGCAAATTCATATATTTGCATTGGTCGAGTGCCTTGTACTACAACTACAATGTTGAATAGAACATGTTCTCTCTTTTAGGGGAGCTCAAGATACAGGCAAACAAATGACTACACTTCAGAGCCATGTCATAATAAAAGTGCCCATGAAATGATATACAATCTAATTCTAATCAGATTCTCCAATTGACTTGCTATTTTATTCCTGTTCTCAATGGACTCCCATGTACTTTGTAAGGAGACAGAATGTCTGAGCAGAGAATCTTTAGAGAGAAAATCGTCAAATACCATCTTGGATACCAAATGTCCATCTTGTACTTGTGAATAATAATTCAGTCTAGCAGGATGTCCTCTTGCAAACTGAAATGAGCCTACAGTCCCATCTGTGGGAAAACAAGAGGACTCCTAAGTGTTACACACAGGATGTTGCTGATCTTGGGTCACCTGGCTAGCACAGGGCAGCTGTCTGCAGTCCTTTACCTCTGGCTGGATTTCCTCCTTCAACTTCTAAAAGTCCAAGGCTTGAGGACAGTTCCCTGGTGAAGATCACCAGCATCTTCTGTGGGCCAACTGAATTGCTGAGGTGGGAAGTAGTAAAAGTCAGAGTTAGGGTCTAGTTTGTCCTCCCTCTCTCTCATTTTGTGTCCAGCTTTCTTTCCCAACTGCCAACCTTGATTTACAGTTCAGTTAAGTCCCAAAAGTAGATGCAACAGCAACAATCTTCAGTGGACTTCAACAGTTCCCTCAGTTTTGTAAGAGTGAATTGCTCTGAAAATCCCCGATTCTGTGTCACTCTAAGTGGCTCTGCCTCCCTGATCATGTGTCAGCTGCATTCAATCCTAGCACCAGCCCAACCTTCAGGCCACCTCCACCATCACTCACTGGGCGATGTGTTCTGTGCTTGAATATCTTCAGAACATGCAGATTTGTCCTAAACAGGCCTAGGAAATGAATATACAATTATACATAAATTTTTATTTTATCGAAATTTGTTGTGAGTAAAATGGCAGTCCCTTATCTACTGATGGAGTACCTTCTAAAAGCTTTCCTTCTTATTCTTTATCAAATTATTCATTTAATATAAATTACTTATATATTTTTATGTATTTTATGTATTTTTTCAGAGATGATCATTTGGGTTTTGAAAAATTATATTGTAATAAAAAATCAAAATATTTACATTTATATGAGGATAATTCCTTTGTCCATGAATTTATGGACTTATTTAATGGTAGTCTAATTTTCTTAAAGCACTAAACTCTAGAGGCATGGGTTGGCTGAAACACACAGATGACTTTGTTGACTCTAACCCAACTATCCTAGAGTAAGATTGGTTCTACTGGGTGAAATGATCCCTCTTCTCCAATGCTTCTGATACCCCATTTCATTGTCTGCCTACACAGAGGGGAGAGGGCAACAGCTGAGGTTTCTTACAGTCCCAAGAGAACCATTTTTAAAACTCAGTCTATATAAAATATTTCCTGGATGTTTTCACCAAAGCTCATTAATGTAATTTTCACATCATTATTGCAGCTAATGATCATGTAAGCGTTCCTGATCATGTGGAAAATTAAAGATGTTAAATTAAAATATTGACACTGATGTTAGTAAGTAATGATTGTTTATAAGATGTCTGGATTTAAAAGCTTTGTTTACTTAATTTGTTAAAAATGGAAGTTTACTTGTCTTTGGTGTAGAAAATTAAACATGTGACTCTGAACTTTGTAGAGTGCTTAACAGCTTTTATAATACTTTTATAGGGGATTTACATTTGTTATGGGAATAGTCTTTTTACTGACTCTGCTTATATTTTCAGAAATGTGTCTTTAGCCACTAGCCGAGGACAGACCAATAAACAGCATCCAAAAATGTTAATGATTATATATGGTTCCAGAATTTACAATGGTTTGTGTTATGATTTTTTTTAATTTTACAGTGGCTGGAAAGTGAAACACATTCAATAAAAACTGTATTTCAAATACCCATACAATGATTCTACTTTTCACTTTCAGCACAGTATTCAATAAGTTGCGAGAGATATTCACATTTCACTATAAAATAGGCTTTGTGTTAGATAATTCTCCCCAACTGTAGGCTAATGTAAGTGTTCTGAGCATGTTTAAGGTGGGCCAGACTAAGATACGATGCTCAGAAGATTAGGTATAATAAATGCATTTTGATTTATAATATTTTCAACTTACAATGGGTTTATCGGAACATAGCCCCAACATAAGTAGAGAAGCATTTTTATTATAGTGATTTTACATGGAGGCAATGGCAGGAAATGGAACCAGCTGTTCAAAAGCATACTTTGTTTGTAACTTAAATGTTTATACATCCAATCTTCTTATAAAGTTTGAATTTTTTTAAGATAACTATACTAGACTTAATGTTGTGGTGGGTTTGTGACTGTCCTTGATTTTAGTCCTCAAATATCTATAGCAGCAGCAGTTTGTATCTGAAATTATTACAAGGGGATTTGCCTATTAGAAATATGCCTAAGTTCCATTATTCATTAAGGTCACAGCAGCAATTCTGATTAATGGAGCTGATTCTTGATAGCTGTGAGGATACTTCCAATACATATTATAACTTTTACAACAGAGAAAGCCCTTAATTTCCTTACCTGTAAAATCTGAGTAATAATTCCTGCCCTATGAATTGTAATGAAAATGAGAGAAGCTCCCAAAATGATCTAGATGAGACAATCAGGTGGAGATAAGACCAAGATGCTAGGAAGTCAGCTAGCCACTTTCTCACATCTAGCAAACTGCTCCTACCTACTATCCTTGCAAGAGGCAGAACTCAGATTTGTCATTTTTAAATATTCAGTGAACCACTGGGCTTATTCAGGATTATTTGAAACTATAAATACATATATTTTTTAAAATTCTTGGATTCAAGGGGTACGTGTACAGGTTTGTTACATGGATGTGTTGCATGATGGTGACGTTTAGGTTTCTAATAATCCCATGGCCCAGATAGTGAACACAGAGCCCAATAGATAATTTGCCTACCTTAACTCCCCACCCTCTTTTGGAATCCCCAGTATTTACTGTTGCCATCTTTGTGTTCATCTTTACCCAATGTTTAGCTCCCACTCATAAGAGAGAACACGTAGTGTTTAGTTTTCTGTGAAACCATAAATATTAAATGTAAGAGTAACAAGAGTCTACTGAATAGCTACAGCAGCATTCCTTAATGTTATCTTTTTGAATAAATACAATTTTGAAAGCTTCAGCCCTGCACATCAGGTCAATGCACTTAAGTAGCTAAACAAGAATGTCATAATTTGGTGCAAGACTGCACTTCAGGTATTCCAAGTATATCTGTGAGAGTAGCAGAAAGGTCCAAATCAGAAGAGAAAATTTGCCATCTTCATTCAGAATTTCTTAATCTTACTGGAAGTACATAAAATCTGTTTTTGTTTTAAATACCCTGATGGAATAGACCAATTTGGCAGTCTGAAAAAGAACTAAAAAAGCCCAGCTGTCCAACAAAGTCATGTCTCTAGGAAGAGACACACTGAGGGAAGGATGTAACTGAGAGAAATAAGACATAGGCCTCAGATTTCCTAGTTGGGCCAATGAGAAGAGTGAACAGCATCATTATGTGGAGAAAGTGAATTATAGAACCTGATCGTTATTTGTGAGCTCATTGATGTAATGAATTTGCTTACACAGTTTATATGTGACAAAGTTTTGTATGTACCCACTTCTCCTTGTCCTTAGGCAATAAATTGCCAAGAGTGTACAGACTTGGCCTTCTTGCCGAGAAAATTTGTGGAAACTGCCTTTTCAGAAAGAAGCAAAAATTAGTACAAAACATTGGGACTATTTTTTTTGTTTTGCCTTGTTTAATTTCTTTTTTTAAGACAGTCAAACCCCTGAGGGTGCACCCTTGGAATAACAGAAGTTTAGGATAGGAAAGAGTCTCTATGGTCAGCTTGCCCTATTGAAGGAGCACCCAAGACCATCAGATGGTCTGCAGAGAAAGTGTTTATGATGTAATATCAATACATTTGTGAAACCTCATATGTCATAATGCTCTCTTGAAGAGTGACAATTCATATTATCATGTTAAAGACTTTAAGTCCTACATTAAAGAAAACACTTTAAGTTTAACCCAGTGGTTCCCAAACTTTTTTGGCCAAAGATCCCTTTAATCCCTAAAACCTTTGCATACTTGTAAATGTTTATTTAATCCAAGCCTGAATTTGTCTTTAGTAACTTCCTGCTTAACATATGGTCCTTAGACGAACGGCATCAGCATCACCAAGGGCTTATTAGAAATGCCAGTTCTCAGGTCCAGTCTTATATCTATCAAATCAGAATCTGCATTTTAACAAGATTCTCAGGTAAAATGAATATGCATGCTGAAGTTTGAGAAGCACAGGCTCAGTATTCCTTCTGACTCACCATCTTCACTTCGTTGAAGTTAAAGACCTGCTGAGGAAATGTCTTATGCACAGCATTTAAGCAATATTACAACTACAGGCAAGTTGTACCTGCAAATAGTATTTGCACATGCTGCCTCTCTAGTTTCTGTGATGCTGGGAGATGTCTTTCAGAGGCCTGAGTGAGTCTTTACAACCTGCTCAATTTGTTTTGTGAATTATGAGTGATGAAATTCTAGATTACAAATTGCAGACAAAGAAGTCTGTGCCTTTTCCCAGGCATAGCGTCAGCTGGTGAAGTTTATAGAGCCAGATGTATTTAGTAGAAATCAGAGCGTGACTAACACTTCAAGAAGAAGATTTGCAGATGCACAAAAAAGAGCAGAGAAGTCCAGAATTGCAGCTTGGCTTTCAAATATGATTATTGGTTTTTTCTGACAGGTGAAACATTTATAAGGAATCAAAATGCTACTCATTATGCAAAATGCCTGCAGAAATATCTCTATCAGAAGCAACTAAAACGTATACAGTTGACCCAGACGGAGAACAAGGGCCCCTTCTCAGGTATTAGAAATGGTCTATATATTGATAGGGGTTACATGGGTCTATGCATCTGTCAAACTCAGCAAATTATTTAAGGTCTGTATGTGATTTCACTGTCTATGAATTATACCTCAATAAAAACGTATAACGTTTATCTTATGAAATTTGAGTGCAGCTGATATTAGATACAGCAATGTGGGCTGTCAAGAATACTTTAATGGAGATGTGCATTTGGAAATAAATGCCCTTCACCTGGTATATGGAGATATTTTTATGGGAGGGAATAGCCATTGAGTAGGCTGGGTTCCAGTGACTTCATGGTCATGCCAGTCAGCGTTACCAGCAATCCAGATGGCAGAGGGGGCTGTAGCATAGACTCTGAATTATTGATTCTGGGTTCAAATCTGAGCCTAGTTCCCAGTGACCCAGCACATGTGATTTGACCTTTCTGTGCCTTAGTTTCCCTATTTATAAATGGCAATGATAAAAATATTTCCTTCACAGGAACGTTTGGAAGACCAAATGATTTAATATTTGTGAAGAACTTAGTATAGTTCTGGCACAGAGCAAACACTATATACATATTTATCAGATAAACAAAGTGACTCCAATAAGCTAGCTGCAACCACCGCAACTGTCATCTACAACTTAACCAGTTTTATTTTTTTACAGCACTTATCCTTCTTTAAGATGATCTTATTTTGAATAATTTATTTGCATGTCATTGTCAGTTGCCCACCCACCTACTTCATAAGCCCCAAGACATAAGGGACTGATCTGTTTTGTTCTTCCCTGTACTCCTAGAACAGTGCCTGACACACAATAGATCATAACACACTGAATGAATGAATAAAGGAATGATGTTTAAAGCAAAACAGGTTCTTAAAGAAGTGAGTCCTATGATATTAATGTTCCACCAAAATCATTTCCTTAATTACTGGTTAAATTGTTATGTGCCTATCCTGTGTGCTGAGTGGTACGTAAACAGCTTACTGGGGATGAGGTATCTGGATTGATATGACCAAGGAAATTTCTTGAGTGAGAAGGAGCCAATAATTGGAAAACCCCTGATTACCTAATGCTTGTAGCATGTCCCAGGATCTGAAGAATTTTTTATATATCAATATTTTGAATAAAATTCGTATTTGTCCTCAGAGAGACAAAAACTTCTGCTTTTAAGAATACTCAGAAGCTAAACTAAGACATTCATTATACCATCTAATTGTGCTAGATTGACATTTTTTCCTTCAGGATAATAAATCAAGTAAGATTAAGCAATTTATACTATGACTGGGAGGAAACTCAAATTAACAACAGACTAGTTCTGCCCCTTAAATTTGGCAGATGCTCTATTTCCATTAATCTCTGCACCTGGCTTCAAATTTCATGAGGCAGGGTCCTAATCACACTCATCTATGCATCGCTCAGAGCTTCCTAGAGTGTCTTGTATTTAATACACACAATAAATAGATGAGCAAGCTAAATGAATTGAATTTGAAAGTGTAAATACATGCACAAGAGCTTGAGACCAAGGATTTAAAGTAAGGCTTTGTGTTTTACCAAGACTGCCCTCTGGAAGAACAGAGGGGTCACCCACACAATCTGGAAATTAGGCTCACTCCTTCCATTTTACAATTCCTTATTGGCCTTGGTAGGCCTACAGGTTATTCTCAAAAACCTGACACACACACAGAAACACTCCCACACCCCTCCTCCCCCACCACACACAGTGTAGTGATGGATTTACTTCAAGGACCATGAGTTACGAGATAAGCCACACAGAGCAGAGCAAGAGTGTACAATACTGAAAAATATGTTGTGGTGAAGATTCATGTTTGAGTCATAGGACGGGAATCCAGATGTTTATTTTTAGGGGTCTCAGATAACATATCTTTACATTTGAAAGGCAACAGGGTATTTGTTTGGTTACACTATAAGCATGTATTATTTTGTTGAGACTAAATTACTTTTTTTTATTTCTATGATGCAGCACTCTTTTAGTATGGAGAGGCTCATTTGGCAATTCCCTCACCTTTTTAGTAGAAATGAATTTTGATACAAGACCAAATGAGTGTCTCTTTCTTTTCACTAACTCCCATGACCTGCATTCTGAGTTGTTGTTGTTTTTTAACTTGAGATACATGAGTCCTCTGTGCTGCATTCTGTCATCCCCAATATCATTTCTACAGAATGAATTGAGCAAAGATGGCCTAGCATTCGTATTTAGCAAGCAAATACTATGTGTTTAGCAAGTCTTCCACCAAAATACTTAGAAAGATCATGTTAACAGTAGAGGGTGGTGACTGCAAGTTGTCCAGGTTCTTGGCGTTTTGCACAAAGAATTGGACAAAACGTCTAGCAGAGCAAAGAAAGAATGAAGGAACAAAGAAGGAAAGCAGGGATTTATTGAAAACAAAAGTACACTCCACAGTGTGGGAATGGACTCGAGCCACAAGCAGCAGCTCAGGGGCCCAAATACAGAATCTTCTTGGGTTCAAATACCCCCTAGAAGTTTCCCATTGGCCACTTCGTGCTCACCTCATGTAACTGAAGCAGTAGCCTGCAATCGGTCTGATTGGTTGCAGAAAACAGCCAACCAGAGGCTGAAGTGAAGTTACAAAGGTCACACTCCCGTGCAAACATCTGATTGGTTGCTTTTTGCAACCAATGACCTGCATTCTGAGGTGTTTTTTTTTTTTTTTTAACTTAAGATACATGAATCCTCTGGGCTGCGTTCTGTCCTTGGCTGCTTTTTGCAACCAATCAGAGGCTAGGGTGAAGTTACAAAGTTGCCAAGGAAGACTGGACCTGCAATCAGTCTGATTTATTGCAGACAGCCAACTTCCCATCTGCCGCATAGAAAAGGTCAACTTAGGCGTGGAAAGTTAGGGTTTTCCTTTCAATTTAGTTCCAGGAAATTGGCATGAAACAGTCTTAGGTTCCCTGCCTCCAGGCCCTATTCTCCTGCCTCAATCATGTTATCTATGGCAGTGCTTCTAAAACTATAAAGTGCATCCACATCCCTGTATGTGCCAGTGTGGATTCACCAGGTCTAGGGGGCACCTGAGATTCTGTATCTCAAACTGGGCCCTGGGTGTTGCTATAGACCACACTCTGAGTAGCAAAGTTCTAAAGGGAAATATATTTATCACCCTTCCACAAACGGATTCTATTTAAAAAAAGAAAAAAGAAAGAAAAGAAAAAAATCATGTTATCTTCCTTAAAACATAGTTTCATATTCTTTGCCTCTAAATTAGGTGACTGTAAACTCCCTAGGCAATGAGGAGATTCCCAGCTATGGTGGTCTAAGTGCAAAACAATTTTTTCCACACCATCAGCAGCAATGTCCACGCTCATTAAGGCTGTATTTCTGGATTTTCCTTTGCAATGGGCTTCCATGTTAGATCTTCACTACATCCAATTTCAGAAAAAAAAAAAAGTTTTGAGAAAAGTTCTCCATGTGAGAGCACTTCTGTGCTGTTTTTGAAACTTCCTTCTCATTTTTCTGGTATCTTCCAGCAGGCAATGGGGAAACCTGCTTAAGCTCACCCCTCTTTCACTTTGAGCTTTATGGTGACACTTTTCTGGCACATATGTCAGCAGAGCCCACTTTTTAGCTGAGTTGAAAGGAACATGGGAAGCACTGCTTCATTTCTGCCTGGAAAAGCCAGGGACACGATGAAATGTGATTTTGTTTCCTGAAACGTGGAAGGATGGTTGGCGAAAAATGAAACATAGCACAGCCATCGCTCTTCACTAAGGGCCAACTCCTTGAGAAATGTGCTACTTTAACTCTCAGTAGTTTCTGGACAAGGCCTAAAATCAATCATAATCCTAAAAGAAAAAAAAGTTCTATTTCTTTTCCAGTGGTATTTCAGAGAATAGGAACTCTGTTACAATTTGATTTGCACTCTGTTCGCAGAAAACCGACCACGCGCACTGGTTTTGCTTATTGGTATGTTTGGATACACACGTGCGTGCACCTGCTCAGACCACAAAATTGAAGCTCAGAATGGAAAACAGAGGTTTCCATTGAGGTTTCAGCTAAAATAAATTTAAATTTAAGCCTTTCTTTGCCAGTTTGTGCTTCAAAACTTCAGAAAGTGAGGAGATGCAGGTCAAAGGGCACAGAGCAGCAGATATGTAGGATGAGCAAGTCTAGAAATCTCATTTACAACATGAGGACTGTAGTTAGTAAAACTGTATGGTATTGGGGTTCTTTGTTAAATAAGTAGGTTTTAGCTGCTCTTGTCACAGACTCACAAAGTAACCATGTGAGATGATAGATATGTTAATTTGCTTTAAAGTAGCAATGATTTTACTGTCTGTGTATCTCATAACATCGTGTCATAAACCTCAAATATATACAATAAAATATATTTAAAAATACATATAGGCTGAGTTTTTCAGGACATAGAAAAGAAATATGAACTGGATGAGAATGAGAAACTCACATAAAATGGAAGAAGATTACCATTATTATTATTACTTTGAGACAGAGTCTCGTTGTGTCACCCAGGCTGGAGTGCAGTGTCGTGATCTCAGCTCACTGCAGCCTCCTGAGCTCAAGGGATTCTCTGACCTCAGCCTCTCAAGTAACTGGGATTACAGGCACCTGCTACCACATCTGGGTAATCTTGTATTTTTGGTAGAGATGGGGTTTCACCATGTTGGACGGGCTGGTCTCGAACTGCTGACCTCAGGTGATCTGCCCGTCTCAGCCTCCCAAAGTGCTGAGATTACACGCATGAGCCACTGTGCCCAGCCAGAAAAAGATTATTATATCAAGATGGTTTTATAATAATGAAGAATAGAAATCTGGACATACTCAGATTTGTAGCATAGACTGATGGACAGTCCTGTTTGCTCTCCCAAGCAGAAAATCTAAAAGGAAACCTGGCTTCTAAGGGTTTGGAGATTCAAACCTTGAATTCTGATTCTCTAATTACAAGTGGACTTCAGTGAGTTAAAAATACAGACATCAGCTGGAACTTGAATGGAGGGTAGGGGCTTTGCTGGGAGTTGCCTGGTGAGGGAAATATTTTAAAAAGACTTTGAGTAAAACTGTTGTAAGACCAACAGGTTCGTATGCCCATTTGCACAGTAACAAATCATTTGCAGCAGAGAAAGAGTTTAATCATTGCAAGTGCAGATCAGGGAGATAAGAGGAAACCCTCAAATCCATCTCCCTGAAGGAGTTCTGGGCTGGGATTTTTAAAGGGATTATGAAGAGTGAGGGGCTGGAAATTTGGGATTCTTGATTGGTTGGAGTAAGGAGGATAAAATCATCAGGTTTTGGAAAATGAATTATTTGGTAAGTCAGCTTCTCTTGGAGCCCTATAGACCAGCTGGCGTCAGTAGTTTTACTGGTATGCAGGACCTGAAAGAATATCTTAAAGGAAAAACTGAATGTTTCATAATGTTCAAGTTGTTATCTGTACAGCAGTTGAGGGAAACTATATCTTGTGTAACAGGGTCTATGTGATTCTAGAACAATACACAAACATCTATGAGGAAGCAGGTCAGAGGAAGCTGACCTAATAATTTGTGCTGAATGTGTGGCAAGTTTGGTTTATTTTCTTCCCCCACAACCTTCTTCCCTGATTAATTTTATAAAGTTTATAGGGATGGTTTCAAAACAAAGGAAAACAGATACAACCAGGTTGGGTCCAAATGATTCAGGACATTCTCAGCAACAACAGCCCCCATGACTTGAGTCTCTCTAATAAAAAAAGAAAAGAAAAAATCTGAGGACAACTGTAAGGGTAGTCAGGGTTTTCATTTTTTTTTTTTCTGTGACAGAGTCTCACTCTGTTGCCCAGGCTGGAATCCAGTGGTGCAATCTCGGCTCACTGCAACCTCTGTCTCCCGGGTTCAAGCGATTCACCTGCCTCAGCCTCTCGAGTAGCTGGGACTACAGGTGTGTGCCACCACACTCAGCTAATTTTTGAATTTTTAGTAGAGATGTGGTTTTGCCATGTTGGCCAGGCTGGTCTCCAACTCCTGACCTCAGGTGATCCACCCACCTTGGCCTCCCAAAGTGTTGGGATTATAGGCATGAGCCACCATGCCCAGCCAACTGTAAGGGTTTTTATAGATGTGTTTACATAAAAGAAAATAGCACAGGGAAAAAGTGTGCAGTGTCAATAAATGGGACAGGATTATTCACTCCTGGTTTGTATTCCCCATCCCAAGAGAACGACGATTTCACTGCAAAGGCATTTTAAGAGCCATGTAGAGGAATTGTGGCCGATTGAATAGGAAGTTCTACCTGGTTCAAATGAGCTCACATCTCTCGGGGAAGCTGGTGACTGTGGACCCAGGTAGTCCAGGTCATCTTTGAGAAATGATGGAGAACGTAGTGTCAGAGGTGAGGGGATTCTGTGGCCTCCATCTAGCATTCTGCTTGGCATCTCCTACAAAAACTTCTCAGAAATATGAGAAATACAGGGGAAAATGTTTGAATGCTATCCCATGGCAGTTAATATGGAATCTGTTGTGGTTTGTGGATTAGTTGTGTGATTCAGGTGCCATTGGAGGTTTCTGGAAGAGAAGGGCCTTTTAAAAGCCTCTGAGAGGCCAGTATTATCCCCAGAAAGAATGAGAGGAGGTTTATTGTATGCACGCAAGCAATATCTATGAATCCCTTTACTTGCTTGTATCTTACCCTCTTCTGCCCTAGGAACAGGCTCGTGGGAGAAGTGACCCAACTACACCTTCCTGCCAGTCTCGAGCATTTTAGGTGTTAACCACCAAAGTGGCTGACACATGTACTTACTCACTTGGTTTTAATTTGCAGAGTAGGAACAATGGACTTAGATTTTTTTAAACTTCTCTAACTCTTTAATCACTGAATGAAATAACTCATGTTGGAAAGACAAAGAATTTCCTGGTAGACCTTTTGAACAAGAGCTCATAGATTTCAGTGCCATTGGTAGCCAATGTGATACCATGGCATTGTTGTCTATTGTGTTTTTTAGGTTGTGACCTATTTGTGGGTTATGAATTCAATTTTGTGGATTGGGACCTGCAATTTAAAAAAAAGATGAAGGAAATAGAACATAATAGAGTCAAGCGCCATGCAATACAAAATGTCAGAGGTATCCCAACTAACAAGGGTGAATGATGGTTTGTAAAACTTCAGTTACGTATGTATACGTGCATGTATGAGTGTTCTGAGTGATAATATAAAATGCATTTTTTACTGAGGAGCATGATCAGAACAATATCAAACCATTGACCAACATCAACATATTTCTATTAGAAAGATATTTAAATGAAGTTTGTATAGTAAAAGGAAGAAAGAACACTAAAATATTTGCAAATCTACCCTGCACAGTCACTTTAATCTTTTCAGCTTCTAATTGAGATAGATGCTCTATATTACCCTGTTTATTAATAAACCCTCAAAGATCTAAAAAGGTGAATTAACTCTCAGGGGCTTTAACAGATAAATTAACTTGAACCTGCCTAGTTGTCTGTTTCAGAGCCAGAATTCGAACATGGATTCATTTTAGCCGCAGTAAGCACCTGTGTTAGTCAGAATTCAGTGTGGGTAACAGAAGGGCAGGCCAGATTGGAGAGAGCTGGAAACATATTCCAGGTAGAGACAATGGTGCCTGATGAAGCCTAAGGGTCTGAATGCTGGAGTAAAGCCAGGGGTTATTTACACTGTGACTGGGTGTGAATCTACAGATAGATCTGAAACTAGAAGATAAGCCCATGAAGGAAATGGGAAAATGTGCCCTGATTTTGAGTTACATTAGCAAAAAAAATCAAAGCTGAGTCCAAGATGGAAGAACATCTACATAATTAGAGAGGACAGAAGTGATCACGAAGACCTAGGGGACAGGGAGAGGCCTCAGGTAATGCAAAATCTGTACATAATGATTGAGGTCAGGAGAACAGATGCTCTTCCCGGGTCAGTTTTAAGGCTGAAATGTTTCAGGAAAACTGGGAACAAAGCATGGTTGGAAATAGCAGGCTAAGCTGATGCATCAGGAGACTGCAGATCTCAGTGTTACCTTGCCTGGGAACAGGATGGGCCCCAAGTATGGCTGAGAATGCAAGTCTCATGGGTATATGTTTAATGAACCTAGTTGGGAGATGTTAGGAGGAAGACTGGTTCTGATGTGAAAGTTTCCTTCCAAAGAATAGGCCAACCTAACTGCAGCAGTGCTGATTATGATGGAAATTTCCTATTTTGATTCTTCATCAAAAGAAAGAAGAGCCGGTACCATGGTTCTTGCCTGTAATCCCAGCACTTTGGGAGGCCAAGGTGGGAGGATCACTTGAGGCCAGGAGTTTGATACCAGCCCCTATAGGAAACATAACAAGACCCCATCTCTACTAAAAATTAAAAAATTAGCCTGGCATGGTGGCTATGTGTCTTTAGTCCTAGCTACTCAGGAGGCTGAGGCAGGAGGCTCTCTTGAGCCCAGAAGTAGGAGACAGCAGTGAGCTATGATCACACCACTTGCGCTCTAGCCTGGGTGACAGAGCAAGACCATGTCTCAAAAAAAAGAAGAAAAAGGAGAAATTAAAAAGTTTTTCCTTATGGTTTATCTTTAGTAGTTTGACGTATTAAAGAGGTTTATATTTTATTATTATATATGCATTAATATATAATCAGATATTAATTAAATATGTATTAGTATATTATACATTAACAAACTTACATTGTCATCTTCTTCAACTAATTCTAAGCCTCAAACGAAGTGTAAAAGAAAACTGAAGCATCAAAAAATTAGTCAGCTTCAGGCACTATCCCAAATGTTGAAGTTTTCCATGTAAATAAATAAAACCTCTAAAATTAACAAGAGGCTATTTTCACTGTTGCCTGTTGGACACAAGCCTTAATTATGACAGTGATCTGAATAGCCAAGTTACACTGTAAGGCTGTTTCCCTGAATGGAAACACCAACCTTTTTTGCTTTTTTGAAAAAGAAGCAGAAACAGAAGCAGAAGGAGAGGGAGAGGGAAAAGAATTCTTTCGGACAAAATGTATCAAATGTTTGACTTCACTCCAGAGGCAATTTTTAAATACCAAAAATTGTTTCACATCTATTCCCAATAAGGTTTGCCACCAAAGGAGTTTGCTCTAAATTTGTGACTGGATGTTTGGTTTTCAGAGGTTTCAGGATTTCAGAATCATGGTAAGGGATTATAGACATGTATTTGGTATGTGCAATATTGGGGGACTTGAATATTAAGTCTGATTGGGAACATCTCTGGGTTTCTGTATGTGTACACATTCTACACAATAGTGTAAAGTTTTCTAGAAAATTTAGTGTCAGCAAAAATTACGCTGGGGTCTGAGTTTTTATGTGAGAATCTTATAAAGATCAAAATATTAGCTAAAATTTAAAATTTGAGTTGAAAGGGCTTGAATGCTGTATTAGTCTGCTTGGGCTGCCATAATAAAATGCTGTAGATTAGGTGGCTTAAACAACAAACATTTCAGTTTGGAAGGCTGGGAAGTCCACTATCTGGGTGCTGGCAAGGTAGGTTTCAGAACATTCCTTCTTTTGGCTTGTCGGCAACCACCATGTCACTGTGTGCTCAGATGACCTCTTCTTTGTATGTGGTGGTGGGGGTGGGAGCTGGGAGGTCTCTCTAATATCTCTGTTGTGGGATTTTTCCTTAGTTCAGCTGAAGACAGGGGTCCTTATCACATGGCCACGAAAAATCTGGCTTGCAGACAATCTGAAGCGTGAGGAGGGCCGGGTTTATTGGGTGAAAGAGGGAAACAGGGACGCTCCGCAAGGCCAGAATCCCTGCTACAGCGCTTCCTGCCTGAAGATTGAATCCCAGGTTCCACCCAGGAATAGGAGGGGCCAGGCTTCCCCCGCTGCAAACAGCACCAACTCCCGTGGCTCCATGCCAGTGCGCAATCCTCCCAGTGTGCAGGCTGGTTGGAGTTTTTCCAAGGACCTCTTCCCACCTGGCTGTCTCATCTCATTTTGTAAGGACATAAATCCAATCCTATCCTATCCTATTCTATCCGAGCCCCACCCTTATGACCTTATTTAACCTTAATTACTTCTTTCTAGACCCTATCTCCAACTACTACTGCTTTAACATGTGAATCTGGGAGTGGGGGAGAAAATTCTATCCTTAGCAGATGCTAAAACTCAGGACTTGAAACTGCTTTACCAAATGATTATGTGCTGTGGTCTGAAGCAGTATTATTTTTTAACCCAGTGTTTTTCATTCCCATGTTTTTTTCTTTTCTAAGAAATTATTTTCTTCAGGATCAAAGCGACAGAAACTTAGAAGTGGCATTTGAAGTTGCCAACATTAAACCTTTGATCAGTCCGGCCTAGTCACCAGCCAAACAAGGAGGAGAGAGATTGTTGCTCATCCATCTAAATTCACAGCTCAAAGGTGCAGAAATCCAGCTGGAGTAGAAAACATTTCCTGTACTGAGTTAAATTTAACTGAACTCCATGCCTGGATGATTTCTGCCAGTGGCGCCCGTGGGATTGTGTGACCCCCTCTGGCTTTGCTATCTGCAGGTTTCTTGATCACACGTGGTATCCATTTATCAGTCCTGGCTGGAGCCAGTTTCCCAGAGCAAACAGATTCAGGATGATCCGCACTATCAGCAGAGGTTCACCAAAGTTCTAATTAGACCAGGAAGGTTTATTAATACAATTAGCTTTAGGGAGGACAGTTACAACAGGAAGCAAATTCCTTGCAGCATCCGGTCCTCTCTTAGCCATGTTAGTTGATTAAGAGGAAAGCCTCAGACTTCAAAATCAAGAGCAAAATTGAAAATGTCTGGGAATTTAACTTTCCAGTAACTGTAAAGTTTTAACCGTGAACTTTCTATTAACTGTAAAGTATAATTTAACTTTCTAATAACTGTAGAACAAGAAAGGATTCTAGAAAAATCTTGGGAAAAATTATTAATGAGGGGCCTGAGGGCTTAAGTTTGGGGAGAGTGGGCTTCTTTTGATTTGCAATGTGGAAGCTGCTTTTGCTCATGCTTTCTGAAGATCTTCCATAAAGAGGGGAACTGCGAATTGCAAAGTAAAGCCCCTGCTGTGGAGTGAATTTGCTTATGTCACACTCTATCTGAGTGACCCTTAGGAAGTTCCCTAATCTCCCATGCCTGTTTTCTGGGTTGTAAATGCAAGTAATAAAAGTAACTGCCTCATAGGTTTGTTGCAAGTATTAAATAAGAAAATTTATAACGGACATAAAAGGGAGTTGGCATAGAGTTAATGTTCAGTAAATGACGAGTGTATCCTTCTCCTCTTCCTCCTCCTCCTCCTCATCCTCCTCCTCCTCCTCCTCATGGACAATTGGTTTCATCCATCTGATAATGAAACACTGTGAATTGCCCCCAGGAGTGCTTTAAATGATGTCTACTTGTACATAGATGCTCAAAATTTTTGAATTCTATCAGTATGACATCTAGAAGAGTCATGGGTAGCACCAAGGGATAAGCTCTTTCTCTGGAAGAATAGTACATTTCTTTCTATTAAAAAAACATGAATTAGTCAACCCATTATGTGTTTGTTTTTTGCCCTTATTACCAGAAAACTACAAGATGATTTTCAATCACAGTGAGGATTAGTTTCTGTGACTAACATGTTTCTTTCTTTCTCATTCTTATGAGTTTGATTTCCCATTCTTAAGCAAAAAAGCACAATAGGTGTGATTGTGTGTACCATTTTTTTGAATGAGGCAGGAAGATAGTTGACAGTTGGTTAATTCATGTATTCATTCTAGTTAGTTTTGTGTCTGCACTTCCTTCTGGAATTTAAACATTTTTGAAAATACGGTCTCTGTTCTATTTTTTATTTTTCATTCCTATAAAGTTTTATTGAATGCCTATATGTGTCCAACATACCAGATCCTAAGGTTTCACATAAGTCAGATTGGTCTCTGTCCTTAATGGTGTTATCATATAGCAGAGGACAAAATCATAAAATAATAATAATATATGAAAGATATGTAAGCATGTAAGGTCAAGAGGGTGGAAATTTCTTCTGTCTTATTCACTGCTTTATTGCTACTCCTAAGGGAGTGCCTAAAACAGATTAGATGTCCAATTAGTATTTATTCTATCAATTACTGTCCCAGGCATTTTACACATATTAGAAATATGAGAACTAATGTTTATTGAGCAATTCATATCTGTATACCAAACATTCTACTGGTATTTCAACACCGTGAACTAGAAACAATTACTAAGGTTATGAAATAGGAGTTAACACTGAAGTCTAGAGAGGTTATGCAATTTGCTTATGGTCACACAGCTAATAAGAGCTAGATAGAGGTCTCCTCTAGAGCTCATGAGCTTAACCAGTACCTCCATCCATGACACTGTCTTACCCTAATACTGGAGGAGTTGAGGAATAGGCTTCCCCACATCGTGGATAATAAAGCTAAAATTTTCTAAGGCAGGGCCTGGTTAATGGAGGGCACATGCAAGCTGACACTCTCAGGACTCCAAAGTGTACACACTTTTCACTATACCACACAGCCTCTCATGCACGTAGACAATCACACACATACAAACATTCTAACAAAAGTTTGTAGGAATTGTGCTGGGACCATGCTGTATAGCTGTAGTCCATGGTGTATAACATGCCTGCAGTAGAATATCTATTGAAATGAATAGAGCTACAAGGTTAATCCATTGGAGAAGGAATTTGGTGTGATACTTACAAGCTCCCCAGTGGCATGAATGTGTCACTCTTCACAACACTGCCTAGTTCTTGTGTAGATACACTATAAGCATTAAGACAATTTATCCTTACTGTACAAGACTATGGAGTGTAGATGTGGTAGACCTAATTCTGAGATGGCCTTCAGAATCCCATCCGTTGGTGTCCATGCCCTGCCCATTAAGTGTGGGCAAAACCTAAGGTTTGCTTCTACCCGGTAGAATATGACAAAGGTGAAGGGATTTTGCAGCTATAATTAAAGTGTCATGTCAGTTGATTTTGAGTAAATCAAAAGGGAGATTATCCTGGGTGAGCCTGACTTAATTAGGTGAAAGCCCTTAAAAAAGGAACTGGGCCCTTCTGGAGGCAATAGACTGTTCTTGAAGACTTGCTGAAGTTAGTGGCTCTTTTGGAGAAGCCTACATATCAAGGAAATATGACAGCCTCCGGAACTGCAAGCAGCCTCTGGTATCCAAGGCCCCAACAAAAAGCCAGAGCCCTCAGTCACAGAGCTCAAGAAATTGAATTCTACCGTCAACCTGAATGAGCTTGGAAGTGGATTATTCCCCAATCAAGCCTCCAGACTTTAACCCAATCTGGCTGATCCCTTAGTTACAGTCTTATGAGACATTGACAGGAGAGTGGGTTTAGACGTTAATATCCCATTTCCGTTACCAGATATACTGCAAAGACAGAGATCATTTTTTCAAGGAAGTTGTGACTAAGCACCATTTGAAATATCACTATTGTGGTTTTGACTGACCCCAGATGAAAAGATGAACTCTCCTAAGATTTCAGGCATCTTTAAGGATAGATTGTAATGATGCCAGGTGATTCCTAGATGAGATACACTAAAATTCCTCTCCACACAAGGAAAATAACAGTGTGTTCTCTACTTCTCTTGGAAGTTCCATCATTAAGGATATTGAATATGACCAGGCACAGTGGCTCACGCCTGTAATCCCAGCACTTTGGGAGGCTGAGGCAGGTGGATCAGTTGAGGCCAGGAGTTCGAGACCAGCCTGGCCATGACGAAACCTGTCTCTACTAAAAACACAAAAAAGTTAGCCAGGCATGGTTAATTAGCCCTGCTACTTGAGAGGCTGAGGCACAAGAATCAAGAATCACTTTAACCTGGAAGGCAGAGGTTGCACTGAGATCGCGCCACCGAACTCCAGTCTGGGTGACAGAGTGAGACCCTGTCAAAAAAAAAAAAAAAAAGAATATTGAACATATGTTTACATAAATTAATTATTTTGAGCAATGACTATTTCTGCTTCAGAAAATCTGGACTTCTTAAGTTGTGTTCAAGAAAAAAAAAACAAGACAACAAACACTTCAGGTTTATCCTTTTATGTTGTGACTATGTGGGAAGAGATTGTTAATTTAAAAAATCTGTTAACACCAAACTCTCTTTTTTCTCTTTTCCTCTTTTTTTTCTCTCTTCTCTGTCTCTCCTCATTTTATAGGTTTTGGTGTCTATTTATTTTTTCTCCATGTATTGCCACCCTTTGCTCTAGGCTTACATACTTTTAACTACAAATCCAGGAAGGATCCCTGATTCCACCTGTTCCAGTGAAAACCCTGATGTAGCTTTCATTAGACCAACATAGAATATGTGCCAACACTTGACCTAGCCACCGTAGCCATGGAATTTTATTTATTTATTTATTTATTATTTTCTGAAACAGAGTCTCACTCTGTTGCCCAGGCTGGAGTGCAGGGGTACGATCTTTGCTCACTGCAACCTCCACCTCCCGGTTTCAAGTGATTCTCCTGCTTCAGCCTCCCAAGTAGCTGAGATCACAGGCGTGTGCCACCACACCCAGCTAATTTTTGTATTTTTAGTAGAGATGAGCTTTCACCATATTGGCCAGGCTGGTCTCAAACTCCTAACCTCAAGTGATCCACCCACCTTGGCCTCCTAAAGTGCCGGGATTACAGGCATGAGCCACCGAGCCTGGTCCGTAACCATGGATTTTAATGATCTGTTCAGCCAGGCCTGGAATGCACGCCTTCCCCTGTAGCCAGGAGTAAAATAAGCCTATCAGAACCATGCAGGCTGGAGTTACATTTTCAAAGAGGAAAATGGATAAAAACGTTCCATTACTGAGACAACCTCAGATATTTTCCTCAGAGTGGAAATCAGGAAACCAACTTAGAGTCATCTCAAGATTAGAGGGAATTTGGGCTAGAAGGAGAATATTCTAAAGCTACTATTTACTAAAATATTACCTAATAGTACAGGAATAGACAACTGTATCAATGGAGTAGAAGAGATTAGAAAGTGTTCAAACAAGCATAACTCATTTAGAATGGATGCATGAAATGCTATTTCATTGTAGCACTATTGTTTTAGAAATGGTTTTATTAAACTATACACAAATATATGAACACAAATCCATTACAGTACTGAGTAGTGGAATCACTATTTCTCAAATAACTAGTCATCCAGTACAGTAGACTGACATCTTACTGTTTTTACCATCTATTTGTTCTCTCTGGTATGGTGTTTATTTCTACCATTATTTGTACTTATATGAACATTTTTGGGCTGAGATGGCTATCAAAAATGTGCACCAGAGTGGCAAAGAAAAATTCCCTATTCAATATAAAAATACCACTTTTACTGGGGCTCTGGGAACCTTCAAGACAGTGAGCAAGGAAGTATTAGGTAAAATTACCAATTATGTAGCTAATTAGATATGAGGGGAAATCCTTGAAAACTTAGTAGGCCACATACATATCACTGCAGCCTCTAAAGATTGACAAGTAGAGGGAAATAAATTGCCAATAAATGATACTGAGAATATATGTCCAAACAGACTATGCCATTATAAGGTAATCACTCCCTGAAACATAAAAAAAGTCTATTTTATGAATTTTATATACTTATAGTTTATTTTATTATTTGTAGAACTTTTAAAATTTATATCTTCATATATGAATTTCATTTTTATTTTGTGTGTTCTATCTTATATATTTGTAGATAATTTCATAAATGTTTATTTTTGCTAGTTAAGCATCTGATATAAATGACATTTCCAATTAATAGTGAAATGGTGTTTCCAGGAAAGATATTGGAACAATGAATATCCGTATATAAAAGTAATTTTGGCAACCTACTTCACACCATATAAGCAAATAATTTCCATATTATATACATACCTAAATATTGAGGGAAAACCAAAATTGCTAGAATATACATAATATACTTTTTATAACTGTAGAGTGGGAGAAAACATTTTTAGACATAGCGCAAAACCCAGAAGCAAAGTAAAACACTGGTAGGTTATCTGCTTAACACTGTTAAACTTCTAATGGGCAAAAGACAAAGCAGACAAAGGTAAAGACAAGTTACAGGCTGGGAGAAAACAGTTACAAGATATATCAGAAAAAGGGAAACATATACCATCTCTAACATACTCTTACATGGCTCTTACAACCCAATAAGAAAGTGAAGTTCTCAGGTATCTGTGAATGCAAGCCACAGTTGTCTCTTAGCCACAATGTCTAGGGTGCGTCAGGATTCAGACGACTGCAGTTCCTGGCCAAGTACCCCCTAGCTTTGCTGAATGACATGCCTCTTTATGGCTTATGGACAGCAACCATTGGGTTCAGGTCTTTGCCCCATTTCCTGACCCAAGGGGCCACAAAATCCTTTGTCCTCACCCCAGGCCACAAGAAGAGCATCTCCTCAGAAAGTGGCCACTGGTTATTTCACCTGGCCCCAAGACGATGCAAGGCACCCACTCTGCTTTTTTTGTGATGAGATGGAGCATGACTGGCCTTGCACATGACCTTCAGTCACTGCCTCTTTGCTCTTTGGTTGTTGACTTTGTCGGCAGGGAATTCAGAGGGAAGGAGAGTCAGCGACGTGCTCTCGTAAGGTCATCTTAGAAGACCACTCTCTCCAATTATTTTAAGCAGCTCTTTAGAGCTTTCTACATTGTGAAGTTCTTTATCCTACCTGTGTATCCCTAGGGCTTTACAGAGTGGAGATTCAGTAAATATTTTGACAAGAGTGAGCAAATGATTTAACAGTCGATGGAGTGCAAATTGCCAACAACTTACTGTAGCGTTTCCATCCACAGCATTCAGGGTCAGTGGCTAAAATACTTGTCGTAAAGGTGCCAAGCCTCCAGGCATCTAGCAGGGCATTAGCACACCGAAGCATTTATTAGACTCAGGAATATACTCTTTATTGGCTCATTTCAAACAATACCTAAAAAAGAAACCTCTTTTTTTAAAGCCTTCAAAAGATGGCAGGATGTATTTTTTCCTAAGACCCATAAAACAGGTAACATAAACTGTTACTATTTCATAAGAAAAACTTAGGTACAGAAATACTCAAACACTTATCCAAGGGAGCTGGAATTTGTGTCAAATTTTCTTGAGGAATTACATGGCTCGTACTATTTAGACCATGTTCTAAACAAGCATTTATCGCTCTTTGAAGTTGTGTCGTATTTAGAAATTTAGATTCATAGTAATTAGATATTTAGATAGATTATACTGGAATATTTGGGTGGCATATGGACAGCAGGTCTGTAAATAAAATTTAAATCTTCATTACTATATTTTCTACATTCTGCCTTATGCTTGATTTAAGCTTTTTTCCCTTCTTTTCACTGGTTAGATTTTTTTTTCATTTATTTTTTCTTCTAGGTCGTTGACCTTTTTATAGGCATAGAAAATGCCTTGTACCGTGCACCAAAGTTCTTAAAATTTTAAAAGCTTTCTTTGACTAAGTCATCCCTTGCCCTCTTTTGAAGCTATTCTGACCTCTATTTTCTATTTTATTTTAATTAATCATATCTTAGGATTTGTAGGCTTATATGTGGATGCATGTATATTATCTTGTTAAGGGTACATAAGGCAGTTATACAAAAGATTATGTTGGCTTCAAAGAATGTTAAACAAAAGGAATGAGAAGATTCCTGAATAATATAGTTATGCATACTCAGAGCTTCTTTCATAAGGGCATTTGAAATGTATGCTGATCACCTCAAGGTCGCCATGAAATGGGAAGATTTAAACTAGTGGTGTTTGGACAGAAACAACTTTTACCTTGAAAGCCAGCAATCAATGACTGAAAAATGTATATCTAAGGCTGGAAAATCATTTCAGTATTATTAAGTATTCTGATGACAAAAAAGGTTCAAACATTTGTGACTCCCATAGCTAGTATTGATATGGGTGATGGGAAATAAGGATGTATTTATTTTATTTGGACTTTAGTCATGTTTTTATTGTCTGTAAAAATGACTTGACTGTTACAGCTAGAACATTGAAGAAAGAAGGGAAGCAGGTCAAATGGGTCCCCAGTGATTCCCTGTGGCACCTGGACTTTCTCCAGGAATTGATTGTTACATATTATTCCATCAAACACCTTTTAACCAGTCCAGTTCTTGTCTATGGATCCAGACAATTCAGTCTTCCCAGGGCTTACCCATGTTTCCATATATCCAGAAAGTTTGTATATTATGGCTAGAAAAGCAATTAAACCACTTTGGAAGGGTTGGGGGAAGGGAGGGTTAGGGAGAGACTTGTTAAAGGATACAAAATTATAGCTAGATAGGAGGAATAAATTCTAGTATTGTATAGCTTTGCAGGAAGACTAAAGTTAACAATCATATGGTATATAGTATCAGATAGCTAGAAGGAGGATATTTAATGTTCCCCACACAAAGAAATGATAAATGTTTTTGATTTTATATATATATATATATGATAATTACCGTGATCTGATCACTATATGTTATATGGATCGAAACATCACTATGTACTCCATGAATATATACAATTATTATGTGTCAATTTAAGAAATTAAATTAAAAAGAGAAATTAACCCAGCCTCACCATTTTACAGCAGAGGGACTTGAGGTGGAAAAAATTCAAGAAACTTTACTCTCGTCATTCAACGGAGTGATCTTTTGAAAAAGGTAGCATTACAAGAAATCCAGTATATACCCACAAATACGTGGCCACATTTCTTGACAATGTTCCAATTATTATTGATATCTACAATTAGAATTAAATCGTTGTTTCTAACCAGTAATATTCCAAGTAAAGTAGTAACATTGTTTATTCATTGGCATTAGGCATCTATGGTTAGCTCTACAGAATTATAGTTGAAATCTATGTGAAAATATCAATTTTTACACTTACCGACCATAATAGGATACTTACAGAAGAGCTTGATACCAGACTGTCAGCCAAAGATTTTCTGAATTTGGTATGAATTTTCTAAAGGTGGAGTGATTTGCTTCAAGAGAAAATTGCTTTGAGTGCATTTTGCAGTCAAGAACTTTGACACCTTGCAATTTACTAGTTGCAAAGATAATCTGATCACAAAGTAAGAAATCTGATCGTTGTAATTCCAATTTATATCAATAAGAAATAATAAATAATCTTTATTTTGGAGGTTTGCTAAGTGACTGAAAGTTTATCTAAATACAGACGGTTTTGCATGAACGCTAGGGACTGAATGAAACACTGTTTGCCTACCAATTAACCAGGCAGGTGTGAAACATAAGCAGTGACCGACCATAACAGACGATCTCTCAGATATTGATCACTCTTTTAACAGAAAAATTCCTATGGGCAGATAGAGGAGGGGGAGAGGGCAGCATTCTCTTGAGATTGTCTTAGGGAAGGATGATCATGAAACTCTTTATATCTGAAAAAAATTTTAAATCCTTTTAAATATCAATCCAGGAGGATTAGCTAAGCAGCAATAAAGCACCTTATAACTGTTACATAGTTAATTCAAAGAAGCATTGTATCAAGATAAATAAATATAGAAAACAAGGAATCCATTTTCAAGAAACATACTTTGTTCTAGTTCTGACTTCAGATTTAAAACACACACACATACGCAGAAGACACACTGAATATGATTGAATCTAGAATATAGAAATAAAATAATTGAATATATTCCATTTGTTAATGTGTGCATGTGTTTTCAAGACATGGCTCAATGATTCTGTAGTTTTTTCCTTATTTTTATTTTGAGAATTTTCTAGAAAAAATATGTCTTAAATACTTAATTTTTACTTCTTGGTTATCTTAGTCCATTTGTACTGCTACAGCAGAATACATGAGATGATAATTTCTAAAGAACAGGAATTTATTTTCTCACAGTTCTGAATACTGAGATGTTCAAGGGGCCGGCAGGTTTCGTTGTCTGTGAGGGTGGCTCTCTGCTTCCAAGATGGTTCCTCTAGAGGAGGGAACACTTTGTCCTGGCATGGTGGGATGTGGGCTCAAACCCTGTATGAAGCCTCTTTTATAAAGGCCTTAATCTCATCTTTGAGAGAGGAGCCCTCATAACCTAATCAGCTCTTAAAGGTTCTACCTCTTAATACTATCACAATGGCCATTAAGTTTCAGCATCTGAATTTTAGAGGGGACATACTGAGGCAATAACAAACATTATGTTTTTGAGAAGGTCCCATTTTTTCTTAATTTAAAGCTCAGTCCAATGAATATCTGTAACAAAGGGTTAGTGAAATCCCAGTCCAAAATTATCATCTTTTGAAGGTAATTCAGATGGACATTTCTTGAGTTATCAAAATGTATAATATTATCTATTCAAATCTTTTCTGTTTTATTAATTAAACTCAGGAGATTAAAGTACCTTGCCATGACATTGAAACTAGTAAAACAGCCAAATATGAAAACCAAGCATGCTGGGAAAATCCTAATAATGATGGAATGGCTACCAAGTCTTTGTTATTCCCTTGGATAGTAGCACACCTTGGAAAGACTTAGCAAAGCCCAGATTTCAGGAAAGTAGAAAAATTGCATTTAATGCTTTGATTATAAAATTATCTTGTGAGTTTCTTGTTTTTTTTTTTGTTTTTTTTTTTGAGATGGAGTCTCGTCCTGTTGCCCAGGCTGGAGTGCAGTGGCACGATCTCAGCTCACTGCAATATCTGCATCCTGGGTTCAAGCGATTCTCCTGCCTCACCTTCTCGAGTAGCTGGGACCACAGGTGTGCGTCACCACACCCAGCTAATATTTTTGTATTTTTAGTAGAGATGGGGTTTCACCATATTGGTCAGACTGGTCTTGAACTCCTGACCTCGTGATCTGCCCGCCTTGGCCTCCTGAAGTGCTGGGATTACAGGCGTGAGCCACAGCACCTGGCCATCTCGTGAGTTTTAATGCAACTGGCAGTTGACTGTGGGTCCTAACCATGGGCTCTGTTTTTCTCAAATGTAAAATTATTGGCCGATGTGGAAGACCATCCATCCTGTAGGGTGAGGCCCTGCTTTTTATAAGGTAATGGAAGAGTATGCTATTCAATATCAAGTTAAAAATAACTTTTACCAGTGTGGAAAAGAAATGAGCAGGGAAACCTATTGACCATTAGGCTTAGTTTTCTGTTTGGTGCCCCAACTTCACTCCATCTGCTATCTTTTGGATCTCCAGGGTTTTCTTTCCTACTCCTTACCCCAGAAAGCTGCATTATTCTGGCTCCCTGAGCAACTGACTTCAGTCTGAGTTTCACCAGTGGGAGGTGCTGTCACGCTATTGGAGGGCAGAAGAAGAGCAGCATGAAATGGTTATTTGGTTATTCCCTATTCCCTTCTGCTTCTGCATCACATTTCTGGCAATGGCTGAATATCTCCCTAACTACAGCTCCCAACAGGCAACCTCTCTTTCATGGTTCCAGCTCTTACCAGTTACAATAATTCTATTTCTATCACAACCCCTTCTTCCACCCCTACCCCAATTCTTCCAGTCCAGGGGTCACAATAGCACCCCACAGTGGCTATTTCCTGGGTTTACCAACTTCTTTTGTTGGTTCTTCCAGCCTGCTTACACCTCCGACTTTTTTCCTCATTAAAGTCTCTTCACTTAATTTATCTGATTTGAATTTGTCTCTTTACTGAGATCTTGACCAATACCTGATTTTTTTTTTGTACTTTAAGTTCTAGGGTACATGTGCACAATGTGCAGGTTTGTTACATATGTATACATGTGCCATGTTGGTGTGCTGCACCCATTAACTCGTCATTTACATTAGGTATATCCCCTAATGCTATCCCTCCCACCTCCCCCCACCACATGACAGGCCGCGGTGTGTGATGTTCCCCACCCTGTCTCCAAGTTTTCTCATTGTTCAATTCCCACCTATGAGTGAGAACATGCAGTGTTTGGTTTTTTGTCCTTGCGATAGTTTGCTGACAATGATGGTTTCTAGAAACCATAGCTTCATCCATGTCCCTACAAAGGACATGAACTCATCCTTTTTTATGGCTGCATAGTATTCCATGGTGTATATGTGCCACATTTTCTTAATCCAGTCTATCATTGTTGGACATTTGGGTTGGTTCCAAGTCTTTGCAATTGTGAATAGTGCCGCAATAAACATACGTGTGCATGTGTCTTTATAGCAGCATGATTTATAGTCCTTTGGGTATATACCCAGTAATGGGATGCCTGGGTCAAATGGTATTTCTAGTTCTAGATCCTTGAGGAATAGCCACACTGTCTTCCACAATGGTTGAACTAGTTTACAGTCCCACCAACAATGTAAAAGTGTTCCTGTTTCTCCACATCCTCTCCAGTACCTGTTGTTTCCTGACTTTTTAATGATCACCATTCTAACTAGTGTGAGATGGTATCTCATTGTGGTTTTGATTTGCATTTCTCTGATGGCCAGTGATGATGAGCATTTTTTCATGTGTCTGTTGGCTGCATAAATGTCTTCTTTTGAGAAGTGTCTGTTTATATCCTTTGCCTACTTTTTGATGAGGTTTTTTTTTTTCTTGTAAATTTGTTTGAGTTCTTTGTAGATTCTGGATATTAGCCCTTTGTCAGATAAGTAGATTGCAAAAATTTTCTCCCATTCTGTAGGTTGTCTGTTCACTCTGATGATAGTTTCTGTTGCTGTGCAGAAGTTCTTTAGTTTAATTAGATCCCATTTGTCAATTTTGGCTTTTGTTGCCATTGCTTTTGGTGTTTTAGACATGAAGTCCTTGCCCATGCCTATGTCCTAAATGGTATTGCCTAGGTTTTCTTCTAGGGTTTTTATGGTTTTAGGTCTGACATTTAAGTCTTTGATCCATCTTGAATTGATTTTTGTATAAGTTGTAAGGAAGGGATCCAGTTTCAGCTGTCTACATATGGCTAGCAGGTTTTCCCAGCACCGTTTATTAAATAGGGAATCTTTTCCCCATTTCTTGTTTTTGTCAGGTTTGTCAAAGATCAGATGGTTGTAAATGTGTGGTATTATTTCTGAGGGCTCTGTTCTGTTCCATTGGTCTATATCTCTGTTTTGGTACCAGTACCATGCTGTTTTGGTTACTGTAGCCTTGTAGTATAGTTTGAAGTCAGGTAGCATGATGCCTCCAGCTTTGTTCTTTTGACTTAGGATTGACTTGGCAATGCGGGCTCTTTTTTGGTTCCATATGAACTTTAAAGTAGTTTTTTCCAATTCTGTGAAGAAAGTCATTGGTAGCTTTATGGGGATGGCATTGAATCTATAAATTACCTTGAGCAGTATGGCCATTTTCATGGTATTGATTCTTCCTATCCATGAGCATGGAATGTTCTTCCATTTGTTTGTGTCCTCTTTTATTTCGTTGAGCAGTGGTTTCTAGTTCTCCTTGAAGAGGTCCTTCACATCCCTTGTAAGTTGGATTCCTAGGTATTTTATTCTCTTTGAAGCAATTGTGAATGGGAGTTCACTCATGATTTGGCTCTCTGTTTGTCTGTTATTGGTGTATAAGAATGCTTGTGATTTTTGCACGTTGATTTTGTATCCTGAGACTTTGCTGAAGTTGCTTACCGAAAAAAGTCCAGGACCAGACGGATTCACAGCCGAATTCTACCAGAGGTACAAGGAGGAGCTGGTCCCATTCCTTCTGAAATTATTCCAATCAACAGAAAAAGAGGGAATCCTCCCTAACTCATTTTATGAGGCCAGCATCATCCTGATACCAAAGCCTGGCAGAGACACAGCAAAAAAAAGAGAATTTTAGACCACTATCCCTGATGAACATCGATGCAAAAATCCTCAATAAAATGCTGGCAAACCGAATCCAGCAGCACATCAAAAAGCTTATACACCATGATCAAGTGGGCTTCATCCCTGGGATGCAAGGCTGGTTCAACATATGCAAATCAATAAACGTAATCCAGCATATAAACAGAACCAAAGACAAAAACCACATGACTATCTCAATAGATGCAGAAAAGCCCTTTGACACAATTCAACAACCCTTTGTTTTAAAAACTCTCAATAAATTAGGTATTGATGGGATGTATCTCAAAATAATAAGAGCTATTTATGACAAACCCACAGCCAATATCATACTGAATGGGCAAAAACTGAAAGCATTCCCTTTGAAAACTGGCACAAGACAGGGATGCCCTCTCTCACCACTCCTATTCAACATAGTGTTGGAAGTTCTGGCCAGGGCTATCAGGCAGGAGAAAGAAATAAAGGGTATTCAATTAGGAAAAGAGGGAGTCAAATCGTCCCTGTTTGCAGATGACAATTGTATATTTCGAAAACCCAATCGTCTCAGACCAATACCTGATTTTTAAGCCTAAGGTTAGGAACACATAGGAAAAATCAAGGTGAGTATTAAAAATTAGTAGAAGGAGACCGTTTAGTGTACTACTCAGATTAGTAGCTCTTTGTACAGTCATCCTCAATAAATGGGTGCTTCTGATGACTTACTTTTTTTTCTTTCTTTCTGATAAATTGTTCTTATTAAGGAATTCTATTAAGTCATCATGGAAGATGTTATCTTCTAATTTTACTTGATGCACAATTTGGAAATATAATTAGTTTACTGAATAATATCATCAAGGTTCAAAGAGGACTCGGTGATCTGGAATTCTAGATACGTAGAATAGAAATTCTGAAATTGCATGCAAATCTTAAGTATGTGTGTATAAATATACATATACTGAGTGATTTGCTTTGCAACATGGTGATTTGGCTGTTTAGAAATATTAATGATATTTGAACATCATTAAATGAAGTCAAAGGCCAGCTATACCCTGCAACAGTCAGACCACATATGGTGACATGCTGCCACTTAGGGGCACTATGATAAACAGGTAAACAACCAAGAGAGCTGTGTGGCAACTAGTTTCAAGCTCAGGGTTTTAAGAGCTAGATTTAGGGGCCTGGGTTTTACTCACATCTTCCTCCGGTGCTAGCTGTGAAATTTGGACAAGCAGCATATCTTTTGCTCATCTCTGAAATGGGAGACCTAAGACCATGGGAATACTCATTAAGTGAATGTACATGAAGTGATGCCTGACACATTCCAAAAACTCTCCAGACAATACCTAGAATACTACTAATAATTACCAGTGTGTAATTGGTCTGGAAACCACATGTTGTGAGTAACAGTCTAGGGAACTGGGAACAATTCAGTTTATGGACAAACATACTGAGGGATAGAGTAGGCCGCTTTCAAAATGTGAAAGATTGTCCAAGAGGAGAGAAAATTGTTCTAGGAAGGCAGGAGACTCTCAGTGAAAGGTACAGAGGAATATAATTTGGTCCAGTAGCAGAAATACCTTTCTAACTCCTAGAGCTGTCCAACAAGGAAATAGGCTGATAAGCAATGTCCTTTTGAGCCATTAGTCAACAAAGGCTGGATAATCACTATGCGGAATATGATTTTAGCAGGAACTCCTGCAATAAGGGCTGAAGTGGGGGAGGGCAAGGACAGGGGAAAAGGTCACAACATGACCCTTAATTTCCCTTTGCACTCTACAATTTCAGACTCTATGTGTGTGTTGGACAGAATATCAGGAAAATGGCTGCCACCTTTGTTTGCATTCATGTTGTCCTCTTTCAAATCAGGCCCTTGGCAAAGGTCCTGAGACACATTGTCCAAACTTGCTATTGACAATCCTACATATATTTTCCTGTTCAGATGCTTTGGCCTGCCAGAGGCTCACTGGGTGTCATACAATAGTCTTCTGTGTCACCAGCCTTGCAGATTTCTTCAAGAAACTGTTTGTTGAGTAGGCGCTTACTAGCTGGAACAAATCCCTTTGCAAAGGTGTACCTTCCTTTTCTTGAACAGAATGAAAAATGTGTTGAGCAGGAAAAGAAACTTCACAGTATTTGTGTTTTTCTTTTGGCCCTTTCTGCTAGGTATCCTCACTCTAATTGAGCAGGCTCTGGAAACCTGAAACGCACATCAGTCTTGTGCCTTTTTCTGTTTCTTCCACTAGCAGTTGATAATTATAGCTTTTCGTAGATACTCAGCACATTCCATGTTTTTGATGGGAGCAGAGCCTTTGTATGGCAAAATTGCTGATATACTTTTAACTAAATCTGTAGATGTGTTATGTTTAGAAGGCAGCGGAAGAAGCCTGAGCTGGCAGAATAATTGCTGTGTTAGGGCGCCACTGAAGACAAATAGTGTGCCCAAGATTGTGAAAATCCTTTCTTATAAAAACTTTTTCCAACACCAGGGTTCCTTTTGGGACAGAAATAACAATATCTGTTCTTTCTGAGAAAACTTGGAGAGAATGTCAATGTGATATCTCAGGGATAATTCATTTTTGAAAAAGGAGAATCCTTTCTACTGAATACTTTTTATAAGGGACATTTTTAGCTTTGGAACTGCATTTCTCTTCCCTGTCTGGATGTTAGCTGTTTGTATGAGTGGTGAGGACAAAAAGTAAAGGATTGCATCCCACAAAAACCAACCTCAATAGTTTAAGGTCACACAGATGGCTTTGAGGTAAGAAAGGAAATTACATCTCCTGAAAGGCAATGCACAGGCTATTGAATAGGATGAACTTGGAGGTCTCTTCTAGTCCTGAGATTTTATGATTCCATGATCACAGAAACTACTAGTGAATGTGATACTTCATATCTCATCCATTGGCTATTTCAAATGGCAACTAAAGTGAGAAGGGAAATCATTTATTCTTAAATGCAAATTCAAACTAACAGAAATTGGATATATTTCTTGGTGTTCATGAGCATTGCCAGTAGTAAAATATATGTTTAGAGATAAGAAAATAAAAACAACTTATACTTATTGAATGCTTATGACATACCAGGTCCTATATCAAGCATTTTATATGCATCATAGATTCTATTATTGTCAACATCTTATGGAGGAGGTAACTGAGGATTGTAGATATTCTGAAGCAGTGTCGTGAAGCTGACACTAAACACTCTTGGCTACCATAGCATCCTGCTTCTCTGTAGCAGACGCTGGTGATTCATCACACCACATTTCTTTGGCACTCTGGATTTCAGCACAAGTGCTGTAGACAGTTAATTGCCTATCGCTAGTGTCCCGCTTCCTTCAAGTGCATGTGGGAAAGAAGGAGAGGGAAGAGAATCTGAAAGACCGTTCAGCAGGCAGGTGCAACTCAGAATTAAGAGAGAATAATATACTCTACCTAAGGACAGCCCTCAACCAGTGGAATGATGGGGATGGTTTCCGGGTAAACTCCGACCCTCATTGTCCCGAAGGAGAACACTTCCGGGGCACATACTACAATCGTTTCTTAGAGTGTCCCTAACAGGGGTGAGCCCCCCACTCAATACACAGTGGTAAGAAACTCATTCCTGCGTTCTTCTAATACATCTTCCTTCCCTATCTCATTGTCTATGCTCCTCATTTCTGCATCCTAGGATCAGCTCCCAAATAAACTTCCTGCCCTCAAGTCCTTGACCAAAGTGCTGTTTTGGGGAGGAGTCAAAGTAAGATTTTTTAAAGAACACACACGTTACTGCTATGTAGTTACAGGCATAATCTTACTAATGGACTATAATGTCCATCATACCATGGGGTTGATGGTCATAAAACCTAGGCGTATTTGGGAATATTTCTGTGACATTAAATCTCTAACTATATAATAGAAGCTAATGGTAGTATATTGAAATTTGTTCTTTGGAATTCAATTATTCAATAAAATAAGAGAAATCTCTACCACACATTAGCATGACCCCGTTGAAGTCTTCAGAAAGCCTAATGATTTAGCATGACTATTTCAAGATCATTTTTCCTAGGCTTCCTCCCATCCTACTCCTGGAAGTGCTCTGCTATTAATTTCCTTTGTGGTCTTAGATAAGTCTCAGACTGCAGGTGAAATGATTAAATTCTCATTTCTCTTGAAAAATTTCACACGAAGTCTCTTTTCATCTATTTCAATACCTGATATTTAATTTGAATGGAGTATAACAACTACATTGATATAGGGAAAGTTTTATTGAATGAACAAAGCCATCACATAAATTTTTCTTTCATTTTTTTTTTTGTCAGTCTCTGAAATTAGTGAATAGGTAGAGACATCCATCAGTTGGATCATTCTTAGGTAACATTTTGTTTATAAGAACAGGGCAGTGCTGGAATGTGGATTTACCCACAATTCTCACGTGAGATTTCTACCATTGTACTGCTGTTTTCTTCTTGTCTCTGATTTTTTTCAATCTCTGCTCCTCAAACATCCAGGTAGCTTTGATCAGTGCTTCAAGCAGAGTACTGGAGTAAGTAATATATTTTTCTATAACCTTGTAATGAAAGCATGATCTCTTCTTAAGGACTCTGTACTTAGCGAGGCATCTATCGGTGATTGTATACTTTGTAGATTTTATTTGGGTGGTTCTACCATCCTCCATTTATTACATATGACAAACTCAGTAAGATTAGGCTAAGAAGAACTGGTTCCTAGAAGCTAATGTTACCCTGGACAGTTAACAAAATTTTTGTGAAAGTACTGTAGAGTTAGAAAACACACCAAATAGTACAATTCTCCACACTGGATTTCTTCAATTTACTGTTAAGTTGTAAAAAGTAGGCTTGTACCTGATGAAAACATTTGGCAAATTTGTATGCAGTACCAGTGAAAAATATGCACAAATTGGCAAAATAAGGCAAGATTCTAACTGCTGTCCATGTTCAAGAACTATAACAGTAGTGGGGTGAATGCTAAATCTTTACAATAATATATAGATTGTACATTTGTTTTTCATGGATTATAAGACATTTTTCATTTTTCAGCCACACGGTATTGATTCATCACTTCCATATTCAGCTATGCCTATATATGTCCATGTCACAAAGTTATTTTCCCATTAAAAATTTACTCTGTCCTTGCAATAAGAAACACAAAAGAGTTAGTTCAAAGGAAAAAATAACAATTTGCATTTGGATAAAAATGGTAAATAGATTTATTTTTGACTCATCCTGTGAATCCTTTTCAGATTGCCTTCTTTATTTTTTATTTTTTGAGACAGAGTCTCACTCTGTCACCCAGGCTGAAGTGCAGTGGCACGATCTTGGCTCACTGCAACCTCTGCCTCCTGGGTTCAAGCGATTCTCATGCCTCCGCCTACTGAGTAGCTGGGACCACAGGTGGGCGTCACCACACCCAGCTAATTTTTTTGTATTTTTAGTAGGTATGGGGTTTCACCATGTTGGACAGGCTGGTCTCAAACTCTTGACCTCAAGTGACCCACCCACCTCGGCCTCCCAAAGTGCTGGGATTACGGGTGTGAGCCACTGCACCCGGCCCAGATTGCCTTCTTCAGGTAAGTATTTTAAACCTCTTATGAGCTGTTTCCTTCCTTCATCCCTTCGTTTCCTCCTTTTTCCTCCCCTCCTAGGACTCTCTTTCTCTTTTCATTTGCCTCTATTTTCCTTCATTCTTTTCTTCCTTTGTTCATTCCTTCCTCCCTTCTTTCTTCCATCTCCCTCTTCTTCTTTCTTCCATCTCCCTCTTCTTCTTTCTTCCCTCTCTTCCTTTTTTCCTCCTTATTTCTTGCTTTCCTTCTTTATTTCACTCATCTAAAAAAAACCTGTAGTATAGATCTTTGAGGAAATTATTTTAGTTTTGACATTCATTGCACAGTTGTCTGTAACCCAGTTAGGGAATTCTTTCCTATTTTTAAAATGAAAATAGCTGAGAGATTTGTGAGGAAAATTTGAAACAATGTTGATTCTGAATGTTTTTAAAAATTTCTAATATTTATGAAACAACTGTATCTCAGATGAGCTTCAATTTGCAAGGCATCATTCCATTTTCATTTTTAATTCTCTGTTCCAATGCCTCTGCTAAGAAATAAGCATTTTCTCATAGGAAGAGATTATTCCTTTTAACTTTTTTTCAATTTTAATTTTTATTCAGCCTCTTACCTTTTTGCTAAAACCAAAAGTTCAAAAGAAAGGTGATCAGGACACTCCCAGGAATTTTTTAGCCATGTGAGAATATATGGTGAAATGATTCAAGTAGATGCAACATGGTCTACTGGAAAAGCACTGAGATTTTGAGGAGAAAACTTAGCTCTGCCATTAGTTAATTGTCATCAAGGTCTTCCTATGAAAATTGTAGTTCAATTTTCAAACATTTATTGTTTTTCTCCAAAGTGCTAGGCATATGCTTTTGTGCTGGAGATGAAAGATGAATAACATGTAGGTGCTGTTTTTGAAGAACATCACTGAAGAGAGAGTGAGCTAAAACAAATAATGATTTGTGTGCTAGAATAGAGCCAGGTTGTACAGAAAGGTTCTATTAATAGCGCTCAGTGATCCCTGCAAAAGAAGCATTTGATTCTGTCCAAAGAGATGAGTACAGAAAAAGCCAAAGAGAAGAAATGATATTTGATTTGGGATTTTGAAGGATGAATAGGATTTAACCAGATGAATACATTGGAGGAAAGATATTCTGGTAGGAACACTGTGAGTAAACAACTGTAGGACTTTGGGAGGGATTGTGAGTAGAGTGTGCAAGATGGAAAGTACGTTGGCATTATAATGATTCATCATCAACAACACCATGTTTGCTTGCCTGGTTGAATGTCCCTGAGTACACCAGCTGACATGGATGCCAGAATTCCAGCTATGAGAATTTCTCCTCTATTTATTTTAAACGTAGGTACAAATCAGTTCTCTTTGAACCCTGCCTGACTTTGCATCATGGTTTCTTCTCCTTATCTACTTCTTTGTGAATGTGATAACTCAACTTTGGAATTGTAACTTTGTTTCTGGCATCGCATCCTTCCTAACATGCTCATTCCAAAAACTACTCTTTCACTGCACTACTTAGGCAAGAGGCCCCCGGCCATGAGTCTCAGAGTTCTCCTCCTCATATCACCAAAGTGTCCCATGGGTTCCAGTGGAAGGTGAGCAATAACAGTATCTCCTGCAGCCACCTCACAGAACTGTTGTGAAGGATAGAGATGATAACAGATGGACCATGTATTCACTTTGGAGGTAAATAGACTTGGATTTAAATCCTGAGTCTGACTGAGTAAGCCAAGTCAAGTTATTTAACTTCTATGGTCCTCGATATTCTCAGTTTCCTATGATGGGGCTAATAGTACCTACTTGGTAGAATTATTGTGAGAATTTTCATTCAATGAATGTGGACTGAACACTTGCTATATGTGGGCTACTATTCTAGGGCCTGGGGATGTAAAAGAGAAACAAGTCCTTGCCTCCTTGAATTCAGACTGTAAATAAACAATTAACTACATAATATAATATCAGAAAGAGTTTGGTGGCTGGAAGAATAGCAAAGGGTAAGGGGAGAGAGAGAGAGGAACAGAGTGAGAGTAGTGATATTGCAGAGGGTGTTCAAGGAAAGCATCTTACCTGCATGAAATAAAGGGATAAACCATGTAGAAATCTGGAAGAAGAGTATTTCAGGCAGATGGAAGAGCATATACAAAACCTCTGTTATGGACTAAGTTGTATCCCTCTAAAAGGCATGTGCTGAAGCCCTCACCCACAGTGTAACTGTATTTGAAAATAAGGCCTCTAAAGAAGTAATTAAGGTTAAATGAGGTCATAAGGGTGGGCTCTGATCCCATGGACTGATGTCCTTTTAAGAAGAGGAAGACATCAGAGCTCACTCACTCTGTGCACACACAGAGGAAAGGCCATGTGAGGAGACAGGGGAAGGTGGCCGTCTACACGTCAGGAAGGGAGGCCTCACCAGTAACCACCCCTGAAGGCACCTTGGTCTTGGTCTTCTCACCTCCAGAATTGTGAGGAAATAAATTCCTGTTGTTTAAGCCATCCAGTCTGTGGTGTTTTGTTATGGCAGCCCGAGCTCACTAATAATACAGGCTCTGAGGCTGAAATGTCCCAGGCATGTGACTGCAGCAGAGTCAGTGATGGGAGGCAGTGCTGGGAAATGCCTTGGAGAAGTAGCCAGGATCCAGGACACCTTTGCCATGATGAGGAGTCAGGACTTGATGCCAAGGGAGATGGCTGTCTTTGAAGCATGTGCTTCAAGGAGTAAAATGACATGTGTTTTTAAAAGATCAAACTGGCTGCTATGTGGGGAATTGACTCTGGGCCAGAGACCATGGTCTTGAGAGCAGTTAGGTAGACAACAGGAGCCCCTAGTGGAGTTGGTGAGAAGTGGTTGGGATACATTTTGGAGATGAAGCTGACTGAATTTGGTAATGGATTGGATGACGAATGGAAAGAAACGAGTCAGGATGACTCACTGGTTATTGGGCTGAGCATCCGAGTGAGTGATGGTGTTTTTGTGGAGACTGCCACTCTTACGTCTGTAATGCTATTCTGCAGACACCAGTGTGGCTCACTCTCTCCCGTCTTGCATGTCTTTCCTAAATGTCACCTTCTGATTCAGACCTTCCCTGGGCAGCCTTTTAAAAATTGCATTGTTTCTCTGTTTCCCTGTCATGCCTTTCTTTTCTCTATAGTATTTATCCCCATCTAACATATTATATATTTTACTTACCAATTTTATTTTCTTCTAAAATGTATATTTCATGCATTTTTATCTGTTTTGTTCACTGCTTTTTAGTTCACATGTCTTGAACGTGGTCTGGTATACAACAGGTGATCCATATTTCTTGAATATAAGGATGGATGAATGAATGAATGAATGGGTGAAACCTGGGGAAGAGGAATCAAGAACTTTGTTAAAATGAGTACTAGTTGGCCGGGCATGGTGGCTCACATCTGTAATCCTAGCACTTTGGGAAGCCGAGGTGGGCAGATCAAGGTCAGGAGTTCAAGACAAGCCTGACCAACATGGAGGAACACCGTCTCTACTAAAAATACAAAATTAGCTGGGCGTGGTGGCACACACCTGTAATCCCAGCTACTTGGGAGGCTGAGGGATGAGAATGGCTTGAACCTGGGAGGTGGAGGTTGCGATGAGCCGAGATTGTGCCATTGCACTCCAGCCTGGGCAACAGGGGAGAAACTCCATCACAAAAAAAAAAAAAAAATACTGGTCAATTGGAAGTATCTGGAAGGTAATTGCTATACCATTAAATGAGATATATATAACAATTATTATTACAAGTATTCTTCCTCTTTTTTTTTTTTTTTTTTTTTTTTTGGAGACGGAGTCTCGCTCTGTCACCCAGGCTAGAGTGCAGTCTTGCAATCTCGGCTCACTGCAAGCTCCGCCTCCTGGGTTCACGCCATTCTCCTGCCTCAGCCTCCCGAGTAGCTGGGACTACCGGCACCCGCCACCACGCCCGGCTAATTTTTTGTATTTTTAGTAGAGACAGGGTTTCACCATGTTAAGTATTCTTCCTCTTCTAAGTGTGCTGCACCCACCTCTTAGTAGACTTTGGTTGGGATTATCTGAGAGTAGTCTTTTTTAGTTCTGTGGCTGTGTGAGCACATGGTTGGGAGAATGTGAGGAGGATGTGGCCATGACCAACTTTATCCTTTTGTAGCCACTCACTCCCCAGCGTCACACAAATGGATGCTTACGCAGATTTCCTATATCCTCCATAGGCTCCTATCTTTGTGCTGAGTATTAATTCCCATCTGTGTTCAAGGACGGTAATCAGGCAGGGGCAGTAATCAAAATGATGTGTACAGCAAAATCAAAGCTTTCGCATCATAATCAAAACCATGCAGTAAATTATAGGAATACGTGTTCTGGTTTAATCAATGACTGATCTTGCTTGGATGCTTGATACAGAGAAAATCAAAGATTTGGTTTCAAATTAGCCAAGGGGAACATATTATGAATGATCTCATATAACTTAGCATGCTATCACAGTGATTATTTTTTAAATAATAAGATTTTGCTGTAGGTCTCACCACACTACTATTTTAGCATACAACGACTAAGAAAAATTCTTTAGTATTTGTCCTTACATAGTGTCTTGAAGAATGACCTGCCCTCCAAAAGCTTGTTACAGGAGAGATGATATAGGCATGAGCAAAAAATGGTGAATGTGCTTGTACCCAGCAGTGTTAAGTAAATTCCGATCTTTGCTGTGAATTGCGAGTGAAAAGTTTGGGGTGAGTATTTTATTTTTCATTGAGAAGTGAAATAATTGTTAGTTTGTTTAGTAGCACTGGTTTTTGGGAATTTTTTTTCTTTTTTGTCTTTACACATTGCAGAGTAGCAGTAAAGAAATAGGTTGGTCTTTTAAAGGGTGTATTTCCTGCTTTTAATAAACACAAGTTTTATGAGAAAAATAAATAAATTTCAATATAAAATTAAGATGTACAGAATATAGATTTAGCACATATAAAAAAGGAAACAAAAATCATTTTACCTTCACTTTAGCCTGGGCTGATTTAACAAAACACCATAAACTGGGTAGATTTTTAACATCAGAAATTAATTTCTCATAGTTCTAGAGGCTGAGAAGTCCAAGATCAAGGTGCTGGCAGATTTGGTGTCTGGTGAGAGCCCACTACCTCACAGATAGCCTTCTTCTCACTGTAACTCACATGGGAGAAGTGGCCAGAGAGCTCCCTGGGACCTCTTTTATAAGGGCACTAATGCCATTCAGGAGGGAGGGCATCACCCTCAGGACCTCATGACTTCCCCAAGGCTCCATGTCTGAACATCATCACCTTGGGGGTTAGGATTTCAACATATGAATTTTGGATTGGGACATAAAGAGTCTACTGCAAATTTCTTCATGTCAGTCACATTTTAACCAAAATCATCTTACATGGACTTCTCTAGAGGTAGTTATATTTTTTAACCAACTGCACTTTTATATGATAACATATTTTTATATGCCACCTGCAAAAGGGCTACCTAATGAGGCCACCTATTTTTTGTAAGTGTAAGAGACTCAGCTGGAAGCAAGTTCAAGTGTGAAGCACTGTCCCCTCTCTACCTGGGACATGGTGCATACAAATGGGAGTAACATGAGCTTTGCAGGGGTCATCTTGGCCTCCTGTCCCACCTCCACCACTTACCAGTCATCATTCATTATTGTTATTCCATGAACAATGCCACCCACAAACCCAGAGTGACTCTCAGTTCATTGCTTGTCTTCACCCAGCGTAATGCCAGTTGTGTGTCCTTAACATCTTTCTCATCTCCTTATTTTGTCCTCACTTCTCTCCCCACTGCCAATGTTTAGGCCTGCAGCAACGATTTCCTAAATTGCCCACCTTCCATCCAGCTTCCATCACACTGCTAGAGTAACACTTCAGAAAATCCAAGTTCAATCCTATTAAAATCTTATTTTAATCAGTCGTCTATTTAATTATTTTTATTATTGCCCATTACTAGGATAGAGAATTCCAAGTTTGTCAAGTAATGAACTGCATGATATTCCTGGTCTCTTTATTCAAAGTCATCTCCTACTTATACCCCTAATGTGTGCGCGCACACACACACACACACACACACACACACACACGTACACACCATCTTGCCTTCCAGGCACCCTCAGCCACCTTTACTACTCCTGGCATGCTGTCTCCTGCACAAGTCTCATTGCCTTTACCCTCTGTGGAATTTCCCTCTCTGTGCTCTTACCAGATCACTTTATAAAGTTATTTTTAAATATGCTTGTGAAAATAAATGAAGATCACATGAACAAGAACAGAGGTGATTTATTTAGAGTTTGCAAGAGAATCAACCACTATCAGTTGCATTTGGCACAGACTTAAAGGAACACAGAAAGATAGGAAACCTTTAGAGTGAAACAAAGAGCAGGTTCCAGGTACGCTGTGGCATGAGGAAGCTGGAGTTGAGCTAACTAGATGTGAACATCTGATGTGGTTGGTTTGGGAAGCAGATCTTGCTTCCTCCGGTTGATTCTGAGTTGAAAGGAGGGAGCCAAGAATAGGGAAGCTGGCAGTCATTGACTGTATCGTGACTGTTGGGGCCAGTTGCTGTAGAGGTTGTGGTTTGGCTTCCAGCTGGTTGCTGCAGAGGTGGTGCTCAGAATTCTGTTGTCATATATTGTCTGGCCATTGTCCGTTTGTATATTTCATCTCTCATGATCAATCAATATTTTTTGAATGAGTACATGAATATTTCATCTCAGTAAGTGATCATTCCCTCCTCATCCATCTTAATCATAAAATTCTAATGTCCTAGGTTCTTTATCTTTCAACAAATTATGTTTCCCTTTCTTAATGGGTAGAAAAAGGAAGCTTCCCCATAGGCCTAAATGTGCTGATTTCAAGAGAAAGCATACTTCTTTGCAACAAGAAATTGCCCAGGCCTTCACTCTTAACCACTATGCTACATCAACGTCCTTAGATGAAACAGAGACTTGGGGGCATATATTTCCCAATTTTTCAAAATCCATTTTTATCGCATATTCAATTTGGCCTGCTTACCTTATTTACATTACCTGTCTGGGATGAAAGACATTTGAGGTTGTCATTCTGGACTCTTAAGTAAGTTCTTCCTTTAAAGTAAAGAAGCTGACCTTCCAAGCTAATTTATCCCACTTAACAAGAGTAATAATAACACACCACCCACTCCAGAAAGGAAATCATGCAGATGAATGAAATAATGTTTGTACAGAGCTTGACACTCCATAAAATACTCTAATAACATGGTGTCTACACTTTGAAATGTTCAAATCCTATTTCAATAGAATTAAAAGCCATGAAGAATAAAATGTGAATTGCTTGTCAGACTTTTACATAGAGGTGCAGGGTGATACTGATGCCATTAGACAATTTAAAAGCTGGGTTTTAGCAAAGTTTCTGAGGAATCTGATTGGTTTGTGGGGGAGAAAGTGATGGTGGTACTTATTCATATCCATTTTTGTAGAAAAACAATAGGTTATAACATGAACCGAGAAACACTTACGCAGCTAAATTTACAGAAATCTGTCTACTCATCTCCGAGGAAAAGTTTTGGCTAAGCAAGTTAATTTTGTCGTTAGACATTTGCATAGTAATTGTATTGAGTCTGAATGTGCATCTGCATGGAAAGCATGTTTTTTCAATCCTGTTCTTTGGACATGGATTAATATAGATCCTGGCGAGTCCTTAAATAATAAATTATTGAAGTTGAATGCTTAATTACTTTACATTTAGATCTTTTATAACCAGATGCTTGAACCCCTAGTCTGCCATGTATTGCTGCTGCCTTTATTGGTGTTACCAGGTAATAGTCACCTGAGTTTTTCACATGGTCTTGGTTTGAGGGTAGTCTACTAAAGAATGCCCACATATAGTGTTTCAAATATTATTAAAGAGTGATAATTAAATGTGCCTGATGTATAAAAAGCATGTGAGGTCATTTAAACTAACACTTTTATTGTGATTGTTGTGAAGGTTATGAAAAACTTGATCATGTATATTATCTAAAGGGATTGTTACAAACCTCAAGTGACTTCAGGTCATTGAAACCATTGCATGTGGTGACCAGCTACAGAGGCCATGACATTTTTCCCTTGCCTATTGTATCCAAGGTTATTTTGCAAATCACCGCTTTGCATGGTACAACCTTCGGAGTTTCTAGAAATTGCCTGGAGTGATAAACCAGAGTATATTCAACAATAGGATTTCCTAGAATTAGTGGGAGAGGTGTAATTAAGTTACTGTGTAATATATTTCCCCCAAATGATAAATATCAATATGTGAACACTGAATATGTGCTCCTATGAAGCCACCTTAAGTGGCAGTTTTTAGCTCAGAAATTGTGAACCAATGTTTTGTCCACCTGAACCAGTTTGGGTGGATGGAAAAGACTTAAGGGCAGATTTCAGAACTTGTTTTTCTTTGTTAATTCAAAAATGATTCTACTAAACTCTAGATGAGATCAAGTGGTGATAGAGATATCAGCTGAGTGAGTTCTGTTTTCTGGAACTTTCTTGAATCTTTATTAGTAATTCATAGCATTTTTCTAGATTTCATGGCTGCAGTTTCATATTGACATCATCCAGTATCACTCTAAAGGGACTCTAAAACTACCCTTCCTGGCATTCATCTAAGAGCTGGGAAGCCATCCGCTTATACCTGGCTTAGAATATCATTTTTAGAGACATGACCACAAGCCTGCTGACATTCAAGAGCATGGCTTAAGTGCATCCCACTCAGAGCTTTGTGAATTCTTCTTGTAAATTATGATGCCTATTCAAGATTTAGTGGGAATACTCCCTCTTCTCAAGCATTTATCAAAACACAAGGTGAATGCATTATCCACATTAACTGCTGTTCAAAAATTCTGTCCAAAAGTTTTGTTTCAATATAGGCAAAGTTTCTGTGTGATGCCTGGCATATGGCCAACCATATAGGATGGCCATGATCTTTATTACTGATTTCTTAGTGTTTATTTTGAATGTAAAGTTCTTTATGTTTTTCCTAAAAGTTCCTCACTGTTTCCCTCACTCACCCACTAGCCCACATATTCACATATTTTACTTGGTTGTGACTATTTGAAGAAAGCCCTTAAAGCTTTTTTCTAAAGCCCCCCATTTAAGATTTTCAAGTACATAGGAACCACTGGGGACTCTTACTACCATTCTGATTCTGTAGGCTGGGGCCTGAGGGTCTTCATTGCTAACTAGCTCCTAGGTGATAGGAACAGTGCTGAGAGCACACTTTGAGTGGCAAGTCTCCAAAGCAGTGCTGTCTAATAGAACTTTCTGTGATGATGGAAATGCTTCATATCTGTGCCATCCAAATGAGTGGCCACTTGCCCGATGTGGTTAATGAGTATTTGAAATGTGGCCAGTGCAACTCAGGAACTAAAATTTAATTTTATTTAGTTTAATTAATCTAAATTTAAATAGATACCTACCTTATTTGACTATGCTAGGGGACTTAATTAAAGTCTTTATAGCTCCTTGGCTTTCCCCAGTCTTGAGAAAAAGAATCTGAAAGTCGAGGGCTCTTTCTTATCTCCAATTTTCCAGAATCTTGCATAGGGCCAAGAATATTATGTATGCATAGTAAATGACATTCCTATTAAGAGGTCTAGTCTGCAGTTTTGGGGGCAGACTCATAGAACTGTCAAATAATAAAAAGATTTGACTTTGAAGCTATAAGACATGGTGGGTAGGTGGCTCAGCCTCTACCACTTACAGGATAATTTCTGACAAGTCACTTAATCCCTCTAAGCATCAATTTCCTCATCTCAAAATAGCAATCATGATTATGGTAATGTAATACCTATCTCACAGAGTTGCTGTGTTATGCACATAAAATTCCTGGCAAATTATTTTTTTCAAGTGATACTTGCTCTGCAAATGCTAGTTTTTGTGGTTATTTCAGCATGAATTTCTTTTTTCCCCTAATTAGTTATATTTCAGTAAAACAATAGAGGAAGGTACCCTGTGTGGACATAGTTGCAATCCAATTGAGAGGTTAAATAATAACACAAAACTACATGCAGTTTTGTATCATTTCTCATGTGGAGAAAGTAGTTTCGACGGTCAAGGAGGAGGGCTTCAGCATGTTACTTTGATTCTTTGCATTTTATATTATTTTATGTGGAAGCAAACAATATTTTTGGCCTGGGATTTTGTGTTGTTTGATTTAATTCCCTCATAAAAATGTGTCATAAATGCTTTGCTAATTGTGATTGAAATTTCATAACTCTATCTCATCTTAAAAATATCCCATTCCAATTTGCTGAATACATAATTTCCCCTTGTTTAAAGTTATATAATGGACATATTTTCTCTTTGTTTTTCTTGAGTATATTTGCTTTGAAATAGCTTTTTTGTTTTTCATACCCTCTGTTTATATATATGTATATATGTAAATATATGTGTATATATATAAACGTATATATGTATTTACACACACACATATGTATACACACATATATTAATCAAAAGCATTGCCTACTTCAAGAAAATAAGAAAAATCACAAGGGGTAACATTTCGCAAGTGTGCAAAGCACTATTCTAAACACCTTACATATATAAACACGTTGAGTTGTCACTGAGGCTGAGTAAACCTTTAAGCTCTTTTACTGTCTGCTGTGGTGTTGAGTTCTGAAAATATTGATAGTCCTCTTATCACTGGTAATGACATGACGTGCCATCCAATGACCTTTGTACAATCATGATTTATGTATAGGTTGAACTAGGGGCATCGCCATTTAAGAACGATTAAGACAAATCAAGGCATTTCTGAAAGAGAACAGATTGATTTTGTTTCTTAAAGTATTTATAGCTTGTAAGGCAGCTGTCTGCTTTTGTATATTCTTAAACAAGCATCATAGACCTTATTCAATAATTTAAGTGTTTTCTTTAGAACTGTTTTGCAGCAAACCGAACTTCCCATTTGCATTGATCAGTGTTTTCACCTTCATTCTAGATTACATTTTAAAGTAAACCAACCAATTTGGATAAATGTAAACGCAATCACTTGTTAACAATCTTCTGAGACTGAATCGGTGCTGGGTATTTCTGAGTTTCTATGGAAGGAAAATAGTTCAAAGTTCAGATTGGCTGTCTCACCACCTAAGCTCCATGCCTTGCCCCTTGCTTTCCTCCACAATAAGGCTTAGACGCAAAACACTTCGTTTTCCTGATCACCACTCAGGCATGAGAGACCAGGTGATCTATGGCTGGCCAATAGGCCAACAACAAGTAGGGAGAACCTCCTTTCATGAGTAGAAAGGCAAAGCATTGTGAAGGGAGCACCTTTCTATATTATTCCAACCTCGAATAAATGAGAATTTATTTATTTATTTTATTCCAGTTTGTTCATTTATTTCTTATACGCTCTAAGAGGCAACTCAGTATGTTGATTATTTTTTTCAGATTCATGCCCATTCATCTTCTTAAAGTAGAGTTTCTACAGATGCTCCAGGATCAGTCTGACCTAGTACAGAGCAGTGTGTGTGTGTGTGTGTGTGTGTGTGTGTGTGTGTCTGTGTATGTGTGTGTGCTCCTGCATGCTTTTAATTATATATTGAAGATATGCTAAAATATTTATAATGCCTCTCAAAGATTCAAAGAATAATAATAAAATAAGCAGCTTTCCCTACCTTAGAGACCTTCTGTGTACCCTTCCCTTATCCCTTCATTTTCTTCCCTACCAACATAACCACTGATCTGAATTTTGCATTTACTTTTCTCATTCTTCTCTTACAGTCATACTACATACCAGGCAGCTCTAAAGATATATTGTTTAATTTTACATGTTTTGGACTTCTTTAAAAAAAGAATCATACTGAACAAAAATGGAATCATATTGCATGTATTCTTATGAAACTTCATTTTTCATCCAATAATGCTACTTGAAATGTATTTATGTTGATGTAGTTACTACAGCCATTTTTCACTGCTCTATATTTGTCTCACTTTTGCCAGGTTTAATTTTTTTCTATTTTATCCTTTGAACTAGCTTGAAATTATATACTTCACTCTTTTTTCTAATCTCTTGGTTACTCCAGAAATTTTGGCTTGTATACGTAACTTTAATCAAAATCTTTATGATTCTCTTGAATGATAAAATATGTTCAGCATTTTAGCTTCAGCTATTTAGTCTGGTATTTAATTACACCTTCCTAAACCACACACATTAGACATTTTTACTACAATCAATGCTTATAGAAATTCACTCACATATTTATCAGCATTTTTTTTATTTACCTCTCCTTCATGCATCTCTGACTTTGCATTTGGGATTATTTTCCTTCTGACTGTAGTTGGTTCTGTAGGAAATCCTCCCGGGAGTATTGTTAAATATTTTCCATTTGTTTGAATGAAAAATGGCCTTTTGAAATCTTTTGTATTAAAAGTTGGATGCACTGGGTTTTCAGTTCCCGGTTGACAGTTGTTTCTTCTTGGCACATTGGCAGCAGTTTCTCCTATAGTCTAATATTCACTGTTGCTGTTGACAAGTCATGGCAATTGTTATTCCTCTGAAGTAATCTCTTCCTCTGGTTGCTTTTAATATTTTCATGTTGTATTGGGTGTTCTGAAATTTCACTAAGTCTCCAGGTATATGTCTTTCTAAGTTTCCTCCTCAGGATTTGTTGTGCTTCCTAAATCTGAGGTTTGAGGTAATCAGTTCTCTAGCATTTATAGCCCATTGCTACTTTGCCTCCCTCCCATTCATTCTGTTTTCCTTTTCTCAATAGACTTTTCCACTCTGTCGTGCCCTCCAACAACTTTCTTATGATTCCAACCTAGCTGTCTCACTGTGCTGCCTTCTAAATCACTTTTTCATAACTATCTTCTAGGTCAATAATTTTTCCTTCAGCTGTGTCTAATCTGCTGATAAAACATCTGTAAGGAACATGACTGTGCTGCACCCAAGCAGGCATAGGCCAAGGTAAACAACCTGGATGACTCAGCAGGTTTGTGGTACAAGTGCATAGTCCCATGTCTTATATAATCATAGCTGTGTAGAGATAACATAGAAAAGTTCACCGCCATAGCCATAACATAGAGAAGCTCACCACCTAGCTCTCAGCCACTATTGTTTGTGTAATGTATAAAAGTAACACTGACCCTGTGAGGCAGCTGCTGAATAAAGCCATGTCTCATCTACCTGCTGTTTCTCAAGTGTTCTTCCAGCTCCCTGCCCCACATCCACCCACTCCCCTCAGCCCTCAGCTGGGGTTGGAACTTGACCCCAAGCATGACAACATCCATTGGTTTTTAATTTTAATTACCATATTTTTAATTCCTAGATATTCTTTTTGCTTTATTTTAAAATTGATTTGGTCATTTTTTAATAGTTACTTCTTCCTTAATCATATTATCATCTTCTTATTTATTTCCTGAAATGTGTTAGACATTCTTAGATAATTCCTATATCTATTAGAATTATGGGTTGAAGTTGTTTGTTATTTGTGCTCTTCTTATTCATGTTGACTTGTTATTTTATATATTATATATTTTCATGGAACTTTCTTTTAAGTGTTGTCTGAGACCTGGGTTCACGTCAAGGATGATTTTTGTTTGCTTCAAGTAGCTGTCCACAGAGGTAGAGGTGGGAAATCAACCAGTGGCCAATAAATTCATTCCCCAACTCCCTACAAAAGTAGTATGATGCAAGCCATAAACTCAAATACCGACCAGGTTGTGGGTATGAAATCTCTTTGGAGATTTTTTTTTTCCTTCACTTAGTGCTCAATTCATCAGGCAATTTCCCTTCTTGTTTTCTGAAAGAATTTATTGCCAGTTACAGCTTATGCTGCTGTTCCAATTGTATAAGGGATCTCTAGTGAGACTCCCCACATTGGAAAGTCCTTAGACTTTTTCTCTGATTGCTCCAACTCACACATTTGAAATCATACAAATGGAAGCTCATGGTTGCCAAGACTCAGCAGATATCTTCAGGGTGAAACCTGGAGTCAGTGTTAATGTCTCTTCAGAGTCTTTAGTTTGTTTTCATCCTTTTCCAGCAGAAGAGCCCTACAAAAGAAGACATTTATGCAGCCAAAAAACACATGAAAAAATGCTCACCATCACTGGCCATCAGAGAAATGCAAATCAAAACCACAATGAGATACCATCTCACACCAGTTAGAATGGCAATCATTAAAAAGTCAGGAAACAACAGGTGCTGGAGAGGATGTGGAGAAACAGGAACACTTTTACACTGTTGGTGGGACTGTAAACTAGTTCAACCGTTGTGGAAGTCAGTGTGGCGATTCCTCAGGGATCTAGAACTAGAAATACCATTTGACCCAGCCATCCCATTACTGGGTATATACCCAAAGGACTATAAATCATGCTGCTATAAAGACACATGCACACGTATGTTTATTGCGGCATTATTCACAATAGCAAAGACTTGGAACCAACCCAAATGTCCAACAATGATAGACTGGATTAAGAAAATGTGGCACATATACACCATGGAATACTATGCAGCCATAAAAAATGATGAGTTCATGTCCTTTGTGGGGACATGGATGCAATTGGAAATCATCATTCTCAGTAAACTATCACAAGAACAAAAAACCAAACACCACATATTCTCGCTCATAGGTGGGAATTGAACAATGAGAACACATGGACACAGGAAGGGGAATATCACACTCTGGGGACTGTTGTGGGGTGGGGGAGGGGGGAGGGATAGCATTGGGAGATATACCTAATGCTAGATGACGAGTTAGTGGGTGCAGCGCACCAGCATGGCACATGTATACATATGTAACTAACCTGCACATTGTGCACATGTACCCTAAAACTTAAAGTGTAATAATAATTAAAAAAAAACAAAAGAGCTGTACAGGGAATCTAGGCTGGCATAGTGTGAGAAACAAAACACACATGGCAGCTCTTTTTGCCATCCACAACAAAATACTAACAATTGAGCCTATAATCAGCTAAATCCAAAGGCAACATAATGTTCTTCCCCATCTTTTACTTGTGCAGTTGTGTTTTGGATCCAGATTAAAGACCTTAAATTTAGTACTATTAAGTTTATTGTTTGTAGGTTTGACTGAGCTCCGTAAAATTTTTTGGATCTTAATTCTATCACTTAACAGTCACAATTTTCCCCAATTTCATGTCATGCATACATTTGGCCATCACAACTTGAATGTTTTTACTACACTGTTGTAAAAATGTTGACCCAGATCAGATTAAAGCCTCAATATCCCCTCTAGGTAGAGACTCGTGTATGATGTGGCATTGACTAGGTCTGCTGTTAGGAATACTTTCTCTTTCTTTTCTTTTGTTTTATTTTTGAGATCTCCCTCTGTCACCAAGGCTGGAATGCAGTGGTGCAATCTCAGCTCACTGTAACTTCTGCCTCCTTGATTCAAGCGATTCTCATGACTCAGCCTCCCAAGTAGCTGGGATTATAGGCATGTGCCACCATGCCCAACTAATTTTTTGTATTTTTAGTAGAGATGGGGTTTCACTATGTTGGCCAGGCTGGTCTCAAACTCCTGGCCTCAAGTGATCTGCCTGTCTTGGCCTCACAAAGTGCTGGGATTACAGGCATGAGCCACCATGCCTGTCCATATTTCTTTATCTTCAAGAACATATTTTGCCAAATGCCTTCCTGAAGTCAACACACATTGTATTTATGATTTTTTTAGCCAGAGAAGAATTAAATCAGTTAACATGAATTTGACTTATAAATCCACCTGTGTGTTAATCAAAGGGCTCCATGGATAGCCACACCCAGTCATCATTTATCATCTCCATTTATTCCTCACTGGGGTCATTTGAAGATTCTGACTCAGAATTACATCCTTGATACCTTGCTAACAGTCAAGTTAAGCTATTATGGAATTGTGCCTATTTTCATGAATATTTGGGCAGCCTCTTTTCCTAAAGCTTATAATAAAGGCCTCTATGAACTACCATGAACTCCATGGACAGTAGGTATACAGTGTTATATTTGAGTTCCTTCCCTTTTCACCAGATGTCCAGGTAATCTGTACTTTATTTCTATAATGACATAGCATCCATCCTTTTCTCCTTTTATCTTTTGAGCATTTTCCAGGGTGCTTTCATCATCTTGGTTTTGGATTTTTATCAGAACATGTGTCCTTGAACTTGCACACAAGAAAGACTTTCAGTGATTGACACATCCAAGGCTTCTTATTTAGTTGTTCTTCAACTCAACCACATTGTCTAATAGAAACCAGCCAGGCTCTGCTGTCTGCACCATTAGGATGATTATGAAAAGAATTTAACTAGCATTTTCCTATTTATCTTTCAAATATATAAGCTTCTACTTAGCAATATGAAATAACAAACCACTGCTACAGGAAAAATGTGGATAAATCTCACAGAGATTGTGTGGAACAAATAAAACAAATGAAGTCATGTGCAAAAGACTACTTACTCTGTTGTTCTGTTTATAGGAAATTCAAGAACAAGCAAAACTAATAAATGGTCCTGTAAGTCAGAATAGAGTTTTCCCCTGGGACTGGGAAATATTGACTGGAAGAAGCGTGAGGGAGCCTTATAGAGGCTCTATATGTTCTATATTTTGATCTAGGTAGTAGTTATAAGTCTGTTTACATATATAAATATTCATAAAGTTGTACATTTAATACGTGTGCATTTTACTATATGTATGTTATACCTTAATAAAGAAGAAAAACTCATTTAGGTTACAAGTGAGAATCAGTTTTAGTGCAGTACTTATATGAGTATGGACTCTGGAGTCTTGGATATATAATCAGTTGATTACAATCAACATCTGAATGATTTTGGAAACTAAGTTTCCTCATCTGTAAAATGGATGATTTTCTGTGATAACTGTACATTTTTACTTTTTGTATAAGGCATAATGGAGTGATGTGTGTAAGTCACTTACCATCATACCTGCCACAATACATGCAAGTTTTAGTATAATATCGTCCTGATTCAAAACATTTCCTGCTTTTTAAAACATCCTGCTGTTTAGACAGATGACTGACATTATTCAATACATCAAATGGTATGTTTTCATTAGTTATCTATTTGTGACTTGCTTAGTAATTATAATGGCAACTGCCATTTATGTAACTCTTTATGTTTAAAAGCTAATTTATATACATTATCTAATTTAATTATTCACAACAGTGCTATAAAAATGATATTAATTTTATCCTCATCTTGCCAACCTAGAGCCTGAGATGCAGAGACCTGAAGTAACTTACCCAAATGACATAGTCAGGAAATATTAGAGAGAGTCATAACTCAGTCATTTATCTTTCCCTCTTCAAACGGAAGGGTACATTAGAGTCACCTACAGAGCTAGTTACAAGTTCCACCCCCCGTAGTGTCTGATTCAGCAGGTTTGAGGTGGGTCCTGAGATTGCTGCATTTCCCAGGCGATGCTGACACTACCGTCCTATGGACCACACTTTGAGTAGCAAAGCTTTGCAGATGAAGAAAGCGTAAGCATCAGACCTGAGTTCTGCCTTCAAAGAGCTTGCATTTCTTTTTTCAGGAAACAGGACTGAAGTATGAAATAATAGAAGCCTCCCTAAGGTGGTTTATATCCTGAGAACACCCTCTTTGCTGGAAAGAAAGTTTCATAGTAGAAGAGAACTTAAGAATACTCAGATTATATATAGGAGAACAAAGTATGCTTAGATACGCTAATTTTAATGGTGTTCAATGACTTATATGCCAAAATGTTAAAATGGTGGGAGGCCCCTAAATTAATATCCTAATTCAAGTATCCTAGTCGTGTTATTCTCACAAATTGTCATTTCATTATGTCAAGTAATATTTTAGGGTGTTTTAACCATCGTTATTTAGGTCTTTGATTGATGTGAAAATTAGTCTCAGTGCTGTAACCACAGGTTTTTGTCAGTGTAACCCTACTGAGTTCCAGCTTCTTTTTTAAAAAAAAGTACATATGTGTACCCACAACCATTGTTACTAATTGAAATACTTGAAGAAAAGAGAGAAAACAGTGACCAAAATTCTTATAAAAATCAAAAGCTTTCCATTTTTTCCAGCTTTGCTTTGTTTCACAGCAGCCATTTATCAGAGTTTTAACAAGTAACAAGTAACCAGTCACCTATTTTTTAAGTGACAGCATTATTAAGATATAATTCACACACCATACAATTCACTCATATAAAGTGTACAATTCTGTAGGTTTCAGCGTATTCGTAGAGTTATGCAACCATCACTACAATGTAATTTTAGAACATTTTGTTACTTCCAAAAGAAACCCTGTCCCCATTAATAGTCATTCCTCATTTCTCAATTCACTCTGCCCTTTGCAACCGCTAATTTACTTTCTGTCTCCATGGATTTGTCTCTTCCAGACATTTCATAGAAATGGAATCACAAAATATGTGGTCTTTTGTGACCAGCTTCTTTCATATAGCCTAGCGTTTTTGAGATCCATCCGTGTAAAATGGATCAGTTTTTTATTCCATTTTATGGTCAAATAATATTCAATTGAATGAATATGCCACATTTTATCTACCCATTCATCAGTTGATGGACATTTCAGCCACTTCCACACTTTGGCTGTATGAGTAAGAACACATTTATGTACAAGCTTTTGTGAGGACATATGTTTTCATGTATCTTTGGTATATACCCAGGAGTAGAATTCCTGGGACATATGGAAACTATGTTTAAACCATAAGGAACTGACAGTTTTCCTAAAGAGTTGAATCATTTTACAATTCCACTAGCAGTGTATGATGATTCCACGTTCTCCACATTCTCACCAGCTCTTGCTAATATTTATCTTTTTGTTTACAGTAGTGGGTGTGAAATGGTATCTTGTTGTGGTTTTGATGTGCATTTCCCTAATCCTAGTGATGCTGAGCTTCTTGCATGTGCATTTGCTTACTTTGTTTTCTTTTTCCATCCTTTGAGACAAGGTCTCACTCTTAGTCCAGGCTGGAGTGCAGTGGTGCGATCACAGCTCACTGCAGCCTTGACTTCCCAAGATCAAGTGATCCTCCCACCTCAGCCTCCCAAGTAGCTGGGACTACAAAGCACAAACTCTTTAGTTTTTTAGAAATGGGGTCTCGCCATATTGCCCAGACTGGTCATTCATTTATCTCTTTTGGAGAAATGTGTATTCAGATTATTTGCCCATTTTTTAATTTTTTTTTCTTTTTAAAATTTAATTGTAAAATTTGAATAACTTTTTTGTGCTCTTCTTTGTTTTGGTCTTGTTTTGTTTGATTTGGTCTTGTTTTGTTCCTTAACCTTTTGGTGACTAGTGAGTAGCTATTGGTAGAAAGTGGGTAATTACTAAACAAATTGCAATGAGAAAAAAAAGAATTAAATAGTGTGGAACACTTGCAAATATGATAACTAAGTTTTACCAATTATGAACAGGTTAATATTTGGTTTACTGTTTGGAAAATAATAATGTACAATTTACACATTGGTTCTAATACAGTATTTAATCTGTATCTTTGTGTCATATTTAATACCACCATTTTCCAAATTGTTCCATGGAATGTAATAGGTTTTATATCAAAAAGGGGTCTGTGGCTTAATAAGTCTGGAGAACCATAGGCTCAATAAACGGGATGGAGTGTTTTAACTCAAGGGCTTCCTTGAACCTTTAATATGTAAATAGACATTGTAAGTGTTCAAAGCAAGGACTGTACATGAAAATAAAACCCTTTACTTTCCCTAATCATTTCTTTTGGGACTTGTGTTCTGTGGAACACACTCGGGGAAGCATTGCTTTAAGGATGTTAATTTTTCTTAAAGAAAGTATATTGCCCTGGAGAGCTCAGATTGTGACAACTGGACAGGTACAAAGACTGGATGAAACAGCAGCAATTGTTAAGTTACGTGTTACAAACTCAGAATTAATATGGGAAGGATCCTGACATTTTATGAAATTAAAACTAATATTAATTGAACAGAAATAGAAAAAAACCTGGGAAGACTTGAGACAGTTTGTGATTCCTCTCAGCTAGCTGGCATGTTTATTTTGTATTACAGTGCATAATTGACCCCCTGCTAGGTGAATTGGATTTTGCAGACTCGCCTTGTTATGTATTTCAAAGAGCTCTAAATTTAATACATGCTGCTCCTCAGGGTTCAAGCTTTGAATCACCCTCCTTTTCCTGTGTTTTAGCTGGGTAAGTTTCTCTCTTTTCAAGAACAGCAACTTTTTCAATGCAGACAGTTTAATTATAAAGATCTTCTCATTTCGGTAATGTTTTAGTGAATCTCATATTTCCTCATAAATTTAGGGAGAATGCAGCTATTTCTAAAAATAGGAATTAATAGTTGAGTTGTTACTGGCTTTTTTATTGTCCTTTCCAGAATTACAAAAAAAATAGTCTTTGGCAGTTCACATTGCTTCAGGTTGAAAGTATGCAAAATTTTTAAACTATTCCATATTCGTAATAAGTGAAAAAATAATTATTTTTGATTTCTCCCCTAAGGTACTAGCAATGTGTCCATTAGGAAATTTAGCTCTTATTTTTGGTGAAGTAGCAGAATTTTTGTTTCAAGGCAAATTCAGCATAGATACTTGATTGTAAAGATATTATTGTTTGCAAATCTTTGTGGAGTTTTTTGGGGGCCAAATTGAAGCATTAACTCAAAAGAATGGCCCTTTTCTTTTATTGTTATGTTCTTTTCATTTTATTTATTTGCTTTCATACATTTTCTAATTAATTTTATGTTTTTACCAATACCAGCCCCATCACTGGGGTTCTGGTGACCACTTAATTTTACTGTGAAGTAGAAGCCAGATGATGGATAAGTCAAGCCCCAATATAATAAAGCCACCTTAACTAGTTAAACTGATATTATAGAGCTTAGCTCTGACTCCAGATATACATATATACCATTACTTTATAGAACAACTCTCTCTGGAATAGCCGTGTTCTCTTTAAGCCAGGTATGATGGTGCATGCCTGTAGTCCAGCTACTGGGGAGGCTGAGGTGGGAGGATTACTTGAGCCTAGGAGTTCAAGGCCAACCTGGGCAACACTGCAAAACTTTGTCTCAAAAAAAAAAAAGTTATCTTCGTCATTGAGATGTTGCATTGATCACCCAAGTATGGTGAAGAATTGAAGAGTAGCCAATTAGAGTGCTCGATTATGAAAATATGATGCAAGATAGGGACCAGGAAGGTCACCACAGTTCTTCCTGGGGCTAGTTGCTATGAAAGATAAACCCCCACATCTCAGTAGCTTAACACTATTGAAGTTTACATTGTTGTTTACAAAATGCTCTTTCTGGTGGACTGTTTCCCTTCAAGCCATGATTCACATGGCCGGCATTCTTCCATCTTGTAAACCCATCATCTACAAACAGAGACATCCAACTTACCCTGCTAGGCTGCATCAAGCCAGAAGGAGAAAGAGTATGGACGGTCACCAGTGGAAGGTTTCTGTGAATGTGACTCTAGCTCTAACTCTGTGAGCTAGAAGTCAGTCATATCACCAAACCTCATCCCAAGGGACACTGGGGCATGTAATCCAACCACATATGCTCAAGAAGATGAAATGGATTTTGGTGAACATGCAGTGATCTTGACATACACTGCTGAATATTTGCTTTTTTATATTTACAGTGTTGAAATTAATCTGACTAATGAATTGGAGTTAGTTATCTCCAAAGGAAAAAAAAATTACACATGCACGCACACATTAATTATACATTAGTCTTAGGCTAATAATTAATATATCCACATGTTAAGTAATTTCTTTAATAAGTTCTCTTCAAATTAGTTCAAAGATGTCTTTGGCATTCCTAGAAGGCACATTTTATTGATCTGTTCTCAATTTACAAAACAAATAACTGACTCTTTATATCTCCTGAATCTCCTTTGAACATTAAACTGAGTAGCAAAGCATCACACATAGCAAGAAAATTGATTTTGACAATCCAGCCTTGTTAGTTATCATTTCAACAGGTGCCATTAGTATCAAGACCGAGGTGCCTGCCACAGCTCTAGTGCAATAATGTGAAGTAAATATCCATCCAAGCACCCTGGCCTCTTCTCCAAAATAGAAAATGACATCATGTAATTGGTTTTGTCTGAACTGCTCAGTGAGTGAAAATGTGTTTCAGAAGAGTTAAGGCATGATGTCATTATTCCTGAAGTGGATTCTTGCAAAGGCTGGGCACTCAGCAGCCTGAGTCTTAAAACCAGCAGCAGTACAAAAACCTGATGCAGAACCTTAACCCCATTTATATAATATGGTGAATTTTTTCTCAAATGGGAATATGGTGCATTATCTTTAAAAACAAGAAGTGATCACATGCTCCAGAACACCACTGATGCCTCTAAGAAATCTTATTGAATTAAGACAGTTAATTAATTGTCTGCAATAGTCTTGACTCTTGCCTGTCTCTCACTTGAGCATGTGTTGTAAATTAGGCAGGAATATCATTAGGGCATCCAGTTCGTTCCCATGCCCCAGTGGCAAAGAGGGGCAGGACATGAAGATGATTTTATTTATTTAACAAATACTGATCACCTGCTATGTGCCTTGTAATGATCTTAGTGCTGGGTATATAGCCATGAATAAAATGAGATTCCTCTTTTTATACATAATAAGCAAATAAAAATACAACCCAATGGCAGGTAGAGTTTCATGCTAGGAAGAAAGATAAAGCAAAATGACATGCTAGAGGGTGATGCGGGAGTGGCATGGACTGGAAGATGGGCTGTCAGAGTATGACATTTGAGCAGAGGCTGAAATGCTCTGAGGGAGAAAATCATAAATCATGTGGATATTTGTTGGGGAAATGATTATAGGTGTAGGGAACAGCAGGGGCAAAGTCCTTGGATCGGAGTGTGCTTGGCAAGTTTAAAGATGAGCAAACATGAATGAGGGGTAGAGTGGCAGGGATTATGGTGGAGGAGAGGCAGAAGGAGCAGAACATGCAACATGCTGGATGCTGCTGTAGGCCCTCATAAGGGACTGACTATTGAGCCATAAAGCCACTCGATTTCAGGCTTGGCATTCATGCTCTAGCACCAGAAGTGTAATGCTGGGTGGTCTATGGGCTCTGCATTTAGGCTGGGGACTAAGATGTGACATTTCTGGACCTTGGATGATTGTCAAAGGATGGGAGGTTGGTTCTGGGTTCAGAGAATGGGGAAGTACATTGCCCATTAAGAATTTTAAGAGATCTAAGTGTGACCACAATTGATGATTTTATTATCTTCACTTCAGTGATAAAATTCTTCACCCTCCTCATTCCATAATATTCTGCTGCTTTCACCTGAAGTTCGCCAGGTATGATTAAACATTGAGTAATTCAGACCAAAGCTTCCAGATATCTAGTAACAATATACACTAGTCAAAAAACAAGATCACACACACAGACACACACACACACACACACACAGACACACACACACACTCTTTAGTATATTTGGCAAGGAGAAATCATTGAGTGCATGAATTTATAATGGGATTGTATATTTTCAATCAAAGATCTTACATGAAAAATGTTCAATCATTAAGATAAGGGAGACATTTATGTTATGTGGTACCCAAGATATGCCAGTAAGGTTTTTTAAAATACACTTTATTCATTTGTTCAAAAGCCATTTTGGGTGGTGGAGGCTTACTCTGTGCTACTGAAGACATAATGAAGATCAGGAGATACCCTGGCAGCCGAGAGCAGTGGTGCATGCCTGTAATCCCAGCTACTCAGGAGGTTGAGGTGGCAGGATTGCTTGAGCCTGTGGGTTGGAGACCAACCTGGGCAACACAGCAAGACCCTGTCTCAAAAAAATAAGTGGGAAAAAAAGACAGAGATGTCCTTGCAACAAACCAGAAAGTGAGGTATAACTATTCTAATTTTACAAACAAGGTAACTGAGGCACAGAGGAGTTCAGCCTGTGTTCGGAGTCACACAGCTGGTAACATGAAGTTGAAACACAAATGTAACTTTTTTCTACACCTTGTCTTTTTAAAACCAACAACATCTTTCAGACACTTGCACACTTTTTTTCAGATAATTGGTGTATGTAAAGGATTTCACTTCACATGGACTATTTGGTAGATATATAACATCTTAGATATAGCCAATATCTTGTATAGGAACAATGTTTGTATGAAGTAAAGAAAAACAATAGGATAATCAATGCAAGGTAGAAAGTGATAGCACACTTCTGTGATTAATACTAGGATAACTGGTAAAGAGTATATGCTATTTTGTATTACTATTTCCATAACTTCCAATCATGCACATGGCTGCTTCTCTACAACTCTACAAAGACAGTATCTAACACACTGTCATACACCACTGCTTCCTATCTTGTTAAAATGCCAATTCTGACGCAGGTCTGGTGTGGGACCTGAGATTCTGCATTTCTAACAGACTCCAGGGATGCAGATGTCATTGCTCTGTGCTCTTAAATGTGGAGTTTAAGGCTATTACAGTCATTTCCGGCACCAACCAAAACACTGTGTCTTGGCCCCCACGGCTACTGGTGGTCACTTTTGCAAGAATGTTTCCTGGGAGACCTAGTAGAGCAGCTTACAGGAGTTCACAAAGACACAAAATGATGGTAGGAAGGAATAAAGAGGAGAAGTAAAAGTGTTGCAATGGATTCTGTACCTCAATCCTGAAGAAACCACAGATCAGTCACTTCCTTCTTGTTCAAGTGTGTCAAGTGTGTCAAGTGTGTCAGCCTGATTTGGCACAGCTGACTTGATGAAGCATGATCTCACACAGCAAAGCTGTTGATCACCTTGAAGAATATGTACTTTGCTCCTTGGTGTAACCTAAATTTTACCTCGCTAAAACAAAACAAAAAGAATCTAATATTCTACTCATATTATTCATTCTGGCTGGATGCTAAAGTTAATTTCCTTAAGTGCTTCAGATACTATATTAAAACTATCCTTTTATCAAATATTTTAATATAAAGCTTTTGAAAACATGCAAGAGAATTTCTTCATTAGAGCCTTCTCCAATTTTAATGAGCACACAAATCACCTTAAAATCTTATTAAAAATATAAATTTTGACTCAGTGAGTCTGGGATAGGGATTGAAATTTTCCTTTTCTTAAAAGATCTTAGAGAAGGTGGATACAGCATCCTTGGAGCACTCTGAATAGACGGGCCTTGGAATATCTTATCTTCACTTGTATTAGGATGGCTTTTTTGTGTGTGTGATGTTCAAAATGATGAGGAAGCTATATGTTTACATATCACCAGAAGCTTAAAATGATGGAAAGGAGGCTCCCACCCCATCATATAGGCCATTGATCAAAGATTCTGCAGTCACACTATTTCCTTACCATGATGGATTATTCAAACACCAGCTGTAGGAAAAGGATTTTTTTCAGGAAACTGATGGTCCATTGTAGTTTTTCTGAAATCAGGCTGTACTTGAGGATTACTCAGCGGGTTCCAAAGAGTACAGACATTTAAGATCCACCCCAGACCAACTAAATCAGAATCTCTGGGCATGAATCTAATGAGTAGTCTCTAGACCAGCAGCACCTGCAAGCTTATGAGCCATACAGAATCGCAGGCCCCTCCAGATCTACTGAAGTACAGCTTGAAAAGATCCCCAAGCAATTCCAACGCATGTTCAATTTTGAGAGATGTTGCTAACTGGGAGGCAAAGCTGTAGAGTTGCCGCAGCAACTTAATTGTAAGGTATTAAAAGTCTCCTTTCCTATCTAATCGTTTGGATGTCTGCCAGGTATTAGGACCAAAGGAAGACGGGCAGACATAAGAACCCATCCAATGGTGGTTACATTGATTATATCCTTCCTGAGGCATCTGAAATAGTATAAAATAATAAGGAGAGAACACCAAAAATGTATCAACTTCCATGTAACTAGTGTGTATTAGCCCATTTTTGCTTTGTTGTAAAAGAATATCTGAAATTTAGAAATTTAGTAATTTAGAAAGAAAAGAGGTTTATTTAGTTCGTGGTTCTGCAGGCTGTACAAGCTTGGCACCAGCATCTGGTGAAGCCTCAGGAAGCTTTCACTCATGGCAGAAGGCGAATAGGGAGCAGGTGTGTCACATAGCAAGAGAGGAAGCAAAGGAGTGGGGAGGATGTGCCAGGCTCATTTAAAGAACCAGCTCTCGCATGAACTAATTGTGCAAGAACTCACTCATCACCAGGGCGATGGCGCCAAGACAGTCATGAAAGATTTGCACCCATAATCCAAGCAGCTCCCACTAGGCCCCATCTCCAATACTGGGAATAACATTTCGGCTTAACGTTTGGATGGGACACACATCCAAACCACATCTTAGTGCTTTACATAGACTGTTCCATCTATCTCTCCTCTTTGTCATGGGTTTTGGTTGACTTTCTCCCAGAAAGTCCTCCCTGCTTGTTTCTGGCTTTAAATCTATTGAGTAAAATTTATCTGAAGGAAATTTAATCAATAATTCAAAACAGGAATAGATTATTCATAGGGAGAGCTGTGCTCACAGTTTTGTTAATTTGCAGTGGTAGCATTCTTTATCACTGGCTGAAACTCAAGTAAAGGAGTGAAAGATCAAGTATTTGTTGAGAAACTATTTTGTGCCTAGCATCATGCTAAGGATTATGGTGACAACCGCAAAAGGTTAGTTTCATGGCACTTGTTGGAGATGCATGTATTTAACTTGCAAATAGTATACACAACTCGTGTGTTATTAAGTTATGAAATATTGAAAAAGCATAACATGGGAGTTTAATAATGGAACACAGACAGACTGAGCAGAAAAAAAAAATTAGTGAAGGGAGGTGTCATTTTGAATTTAGGCTTCACAGAGCCAACAGAACTTGAGTAGATTTAAGATGTGGACATTCCATTGAGAGAAAACAGCTTCAACAAAAGCAAAATATATAAATATACATATATAAATAACACACAGATGACAGGAAACAAATAATAATGAGAGCTTACCCTTAAACATGCAGCACTATTTTATGTTTTGCATTTTTAATTTTGGGCATAGAATTTCATGTATGTTGGGGAAACTGTAGAAATTCTTCTTATTCTAATTAAGGAAGGTAGCTTTGAAAACAAGCATATTTTAAATAGTTAAAATTTTCATTATTTTTTCCTCAAAATTATAGATTGTGGTGCTTTTTTGTAATTTTTGCTAACTTCAAAATGTAAAGTTAAAGGTTTTATGAAATATCAATTCTGAAAAAAATTTTCTGCTACTAATGATCTAAAAACTGCTATGTTAAGCAGGCTCTTTTCATAGATTAAAAATGCTCAAAATTACTTTGATGTAAACTTCATTCATTATACATGTAAAAAGCTTGGTTTACATGGCTTATAAGTCAGTTTTACAGTCTGGCTGTTAAGCCTAATTCTTTAGATAATTACTATGTGAAATTTTCGTTGTCATTAATTCTTCATTGTGGCAAACTGGCATGAGTATTCTCTATTATGGAGTAATAATATTAATAAGAAGTGCACATATTCAAAATAATGTAGAATTATATGCACTATAATTTACATATTTGTTTAATGTCTTATTTTTTATTATCAACTTTGCTTGTTTATTTGTTTTATGTCACCTGCTGTAGAATGCTAATTGGTAACAAATTATAGCATTATAGAATAGGTGCAAGCCATCAAAGTGTACATTTTTATGTAAATATTTTATTTTTATTATAGAATGAGTAACCTAAAGATAAATGCAGTGCATTCTCAGCAATAAGATAATGCTGAAATACATTTCAGAAGATACAATATTTTTAAACCTGACAGGAAATTATAAAACATTAGCTTACATGAAATAAGTTTCATTCTATATGAGCTTTAATACTGCAAGATCTATGTCTATTAACTGACAATGGAAAGTTTTGTGAGGAAAATGGTTGTATGCTATATCTTTGCTTCCACTAACAGGAAACATTACAGAGTCACAATTCTTAATAGACCGCAGGCTCCTTTACAACTTAGCCATCTATATTACTCACTTTTATGTCCCTAGCATTGGTGATAGATGGTGTTATTTATTCACAATTCTTTTGCTTTCCATCTTTGCCATGAGTGTAAGTGGAGTTGACAATCTACTGCATTGACTTGGCCCTGTGACTTGCTTTAGCTAGTCAAATGTTAGTGGATGTAATGACTTTACATGTGCTTGTGTGGTATGACTCCTTCTCTTGCATTTCTGCCCTTTACTATGAGAAAAATATCTTTTAGGTAGTTGACGATTTCGAAATGAAAAGGATATGAAGATCAGAACCCAACCTGTAGCATAACACAAATCTATATGCACAAAGCACGTTCCATGCAGTCATGTCTTAGTTCTGGGATTTCTAGGTATGGGATTTCCTTGAGCTGAGCACTACATGTAATAGTGATGGTGAACTATCTAGGTATCGGTTTCTAAAGGTTTTCTCAGTAGTGGGACAGTAGCTGAGAAATAAAGGAGAAATTGGCTAGGCCAGGAGACTTCTCCATCTCTAGGGTCGCCAGGTAATAGTTCAGATTACTTCAGAGATTTAAAGGTGCAGCATTAGAACATGGTTTTCCAGGTTAGCAGGGTCAGGCAGTTACCAGAAGATTCTGCAAGCATGACTTGGTGCCTGAGTGGGTGGCGAGCCAGGGGTCCCTGTCCAATCCCCAAGCTGAACAGAGAATAAAATCCGGATTATGATTAAGCTCATATCCACCACCACAAAATGGAGAGAAAAACAACAGATTTGGTTAACACCCAGTGTTCAAGGAATGAGAAAAGGGATAGGAAGCAAACTTGAAGCATTGAAAAAATATGTCAGGTCCTGAAACTGGGGGGAGGAGAAGTGGGAAGGAGATGTTCTGAAGAGCGTCACTGAGAAAGGCATATTTATACCTGAATAAGTTCTCTCCAATCTGCCTGCAATTTTTAGCTAGTTTGCCTAGTGTAGCCAGATTACAGCCTTTGGGTGTGTTCTGTGTCACCAATGAGGAGGGCTCTGTAACTGTTGATGATTGCCATAGAAGGGTGGGTTTCCTGTCAAGTCCTCCAGGTACTATCCAGATGCTCCCCCAGGATCTGACAGAGGCTGGACTAAGGGAGCCTTCTGAAGAATAGAGTAGCACACAGCTTGAGAACTGCAGTGTGGACTGAACTTGAAGCTCAGCTACATGGTGTTATAAGCAGACTTACAAAACTACCTCTCAGTTTGGGCAACTGAAACTGAAAGTTTACTATTGAATATAGACAAATTTTGGCCAGGCGCTGTGGCTCATGCCCAGCACTTTGGGAGGCTGAGGCGGGCTGATCACCTGAGCTCAGGAGTTGGAGACAAGCCTGGCCAATATGGCGAAACCTGGTCTTTACCAAAAATACAAAAATTAGCTGGGCGTGGTGGTGCGTACCTGTAGTCCCACGTACTGGGGAGGCTGGGGCCAGAGAATAAGTTGAATCGGGGAGGCAAAGGTTGCAGTGAGCCAAGAGCGCACCACTGCACTCCAGCTTGGAGTAGACAGAGCAAGACTTAATCCCCCTACCCCCCACCCTCCCAAAAAAGAAAAAGAAACATGTAAAATACATTTTCATTTAAAAAGTTAAATTGTAGTATATTCACTTTTAGTAATAAATTTTTTATAATATGTCATTACCAGGCAGACAAAAAAAACTTCAGATATTTTCTTTCAAAGTGCCTTGAGTGCCTTCTGATAGAACTGCTAACGAGCAAAACTAGTACTAGTTAAATAGCACTAATTTGATAATACTAATTATTGTGAATTGTTTGGATGACTTCTGATACATATATTTTACTTTGAAGGGGCTTTTTCTAGGAATATTGATATTTAATACCTGTTATATCTTCTATTTGTAAATGATTATTAAGTTGGCTACTTGCTCTGCAGAGTATTAGGAATTTCAGTTTTTACTGGTTGGTGGTTGCATGTAGTTTTGCCAAACAGAATGCTTAATAAACATTTTAAGCTTGTTCTGCCTTGGCTGTATATTTTAGTTCATTTTTTGTAAATTTTCTCAAAATTAATTGTAGGCTAGCTTACCTATAATAGTCCTTAATTACCATTTTGGGGGGGAATTCTTTTGTATAGTAATTGTTCTCCCCCAACTAGAGTTTATGTGCCTTCTCTGTCCTTCTCTGTCCTTCACCTGAATAATATAATGCTGACCATCATGGAGTAAGCACTGAACTTATAAATCATTTGAATTGGTTTTTTGATCTGAAATTCACAGCTGATGAAAGCAGTTGAAAGTCGATGTTTTCTGTGAGTCATGATTTTTTTTTTCCCCAAGCTGGAGTTGAAATCTACTTGAATATCTCTCTCCTATGACAAAGGCAAAATTAAGTATCATGATAACTTTCAGGATTCGAATAAAATAATCACTTAATAGTGATGTGAATTTTCATGAACATTCGCAGCTTGAAGAATTATTTTAGTATGCCATGTATTTATAGTTTAATAAAACATATGTTTCTCTATAGTTCAATTTATTTTGTGCTTGAAGGAATTTTTTTTTTTTTTTTTTTTTTTTTTTTTTGAGAGGGAGTCTCGCTCTGTCGCCAGGCTGGAGTGAAGTGGCGTGATCTCGGCTCACTGCAACCTCTGCCTCTCGGGTTCAAGCCATTCTCCTACCTCAGCCTCCCAAGTAACTGAGATTACAGGCACATACCAGCACGTCCAACTAATTTTTGTATTTTTAGTAGAGACGGGGTTTCACCACGTTGGGCAGGATGGTCTAGATCTCTTGATCTTGTGATCCACTCACCTCGGCCTCCCAAAGTGGTGGGATTATAGGTGTGAGCCACCGTGCCCAGCCAGAAATTATTTTTAAAACTGTGGTTTTGTATTCCCAGGATAAAATGTGTATCTTTTGTACAGCTTCACAAATTAGTATGTCCATTTACCTATAGCAGTGCATAAAAGGATATTTCTTTAAAGATCTATTTGTATAACATTCTATAGTCCCCTCTTTATTGAAAGTACTAATAGCAATATTTCTAAAATTATTTAATTTTCCAGTGAATGCCAAAGAGTCCCAATTATGGGAAAATGTGTTCCATTTTGGAAAATGCTACATGCAGTTCTCATTTTCACTCAGAAAAATAAAAGGCAATTTAATTACAAAGGACGCAATTTTATAGATTGGAAAAATATAGAAATCCAGACTGCTTGCCAAGTGGAGTGAGACTGTGTGTAATAAAGTAGATTTTGAAAACTTATGCTCAAAACACAATCAAAAAGTCACAGAATGTGAGGGTATTATGGATGGCAAAGAGATATTTGGCAAATGTAAGCAGGGCAGGCAGTCCTTCATTTTTTTTTTTTAACCTCTTTTTCTAAATGCCCTCTGCTGAAGTGGGATAGTTATTTAGAGGTAAGGAAATGATGGTGGGAAAAAATGTGGGAGACATTTTTCTCTCCAAGTGCCTGAAATCTTGACATTGTTCTCTCGATCGATGGAAATAATCAAAAAGGAGAAGGCCATAGCCCTGGTTAATTAACCAGCTCACTATTTAAGAGCACAATTCTCCAAAACAGCCATTTATTTCTATCTAATAAACATTAATCTCAAATAAATAAAAACATATTCTCTCTCTAATTCTATTGTAAGCACCTTAAGACAAAACCTGAGTCTTCTGTTTTGTCCTAACAATGGTGCAATGTGCCCTCTAGAGAAGACCCTTCCTAAGTGTGATTGACTGGGATGGGCTTAGCTGTTCTACCTTTTTCTAAAGGTGGCACTCCCACATACCTTATAAATGCAGGTCTAGTTTCATCATTCCATTAATCACATGCTGACATATCAGCTTCAATTATTTAAATCAAATATTTACAGTTAACATTAGTTATATGAAGTCGGTCCTCAGAAATCACTGTATGGAACACACTTTTATAGTTGACATTGTTTAACAATGTCCTTCTAAATGTTGGCCAAGTAATTTGCCTGAAGAGCCCTTCTCTGCCTGAAGCCATAAGTACTTGAACAGACAGTTTTTTGGGGAGATCTTCCTAGTTAAAAATATTGAGCTAATATCTAAACTTATAGATAACTTCGGGACATTTGATTTGAGTTAAGGTTAGAACAATGCTGCGTAATTCTGGCCACATATATAATTAATTTAAATTCTTCTAGATTAAAAAAAATGTTGCAGAATGCTACAGAGCTGCAAATGAAGACTAGTATCCTGTTAAAACCATTTGATCTTTAAACTGGCTTGCTTCATTTCATAATGGATCGAAGACAATGGACACAAAGTATATAGGCAGTAAAATAATGATAAAATAAATGTTGGTACTCTAAAATAGAAATAAATTAGAAAATTAAGAACAAGGAAAACAAAACACAAATGCACACACATAGCAGCTAAGCTGGCTCATACCTCAGGGCCTTTGGACCTGTTGTTCCCTATTCTTGGACCCGTTGCTTCCTTAGATCTTTGGTTTTGTTTTACTTTTTGAGAAGGAATTTTGCTCTTGTTGCCCAGGCTAGACCATAATGGCACGATCTTGGCTCACCACAACCTCAGCCTCACGGGTTCAAACAATTCTTCTGCCTCAGCCTCCCGAGTAGCTGGGATCATAGGCATGCGCCACCATGCCCAGCTAATTTTGTATTTTTAGTAGAGACAGGGTTTCTCCATGTTGGTCAGGCTGGTCTCGAACTCCCAACCTCAAGTGATCTGCCCACCTTGGCCTCCCAAAGTGCTGGGATTATAGGCATGAGCCACTACACCCGGCCACCTTCTCAGATCTTTTGCTAGCTGCTGCTTCTTCTTCTTCTTTTTTTTTTTTTTTAAATGGAGTCTCCCTCTGTCGTCCAGGCTGGAATGCAGTGGTGTGATCTTGGCTTACAGCAACCTCCACCTCCTGGGTTCAAGTGTTCTCCTGCCTCAGCCTCCCAAGTAGCTGGGACTACAGGCGCCCCCTCACCATGCCCAGATAATTTTTTCATTTTTAGTAGAGACAGGGTTTCACCGTGTTGGTCAGGCTGTTCTCGAACTCCTGACCTCAAGTGATCCTCCCGAAGTGCTGGGATTACAGGCATGAGCCACCGGCCTGCTAGCTTCTTCTTTCTTGTCATGTGTCTCTTTTGAGATATCACTCTTCCAGAGATGCTCTCCTTGACCACCTTGTCTGAACTATCCTTATAGTCCCCTTGTGTCATCTCCTTTTGCTTTCTTTTCTTCAGATCATTTATCAAAATCAAGTTGTTTCTTGTTCACTTCCATGTGTAAGTATTGTTGTCTGTCTACCCCAATTCAAATAGAAACTCCAGGAGAGTTTGCTCACTGCTATATCCCCCAGTTGTGCATGTGGGTACCAGGTGACACTTTCTAAGTAGTTTAAAGTGAGTACATGTTCTTAGGAACTTGCTATGTGGCCTGAAGCTTTCTAGAACTCAAAATGAAGAGAGAGAAATTAGAAAGGCAGATGCTTACCACTGCTCCCCAGGGAATAATAATTTGAAAACCAGCACTTAATTATAATAGACTTGTATTGCCAGGAACCCCATCCAGTGGGTACTGAGCTGGTACAGTGAGAAAACTGTCAAACAGAACTTTGTACAGGAGATACTCTTATTGTGGTCCAAATCTGGAGGGTTCTATTAGATGAAGTTCATCCAAACATAGAACTTAGATTAAGGGAGTAGATGTATACTCCACAGCCAATCCTTCACAAAACTCATTTGTCTCCATTGGGTTTTTTATAAGCTCTGGAAAACAAACAAACAAAAGAGATATTTAATAAGTTATCTATTTTTTTCCAGAGTTTCCCTTGTTCTCGTGCTGATGATTAACTTTAACTCTTCAAATCAATTGTAAGCTGCCTAAAGGCAGAAAAGATAATGTATTTAAATATGTCTTCTTATTCTTAGGACAGAAGAAGGTCCCTATACATGGCAGATGTTCATTAAGGATCAGGGTTTAGTGATGTTAATGCTATTATATAGGTTCATTAGTCATATAAAAGTTCATTATGTGCCAGGCACTTTCAAGGCAAGTTCTGAGAAACAACATTAATGACTGGGCACAGAATCTCAGACTAGAGGACCTCATCTGGTGAACTTGGGCATGAATGAGCACAGCAAATTAGTGGCAGAGCCTAGGGCTTATTCTGCTAATAGGAGCAATTCTAATGTTGGCATGCACTCACACAGGGAAATGTGTGATATATGTTTCCATCACATAGGGAAAGCATTAAAAATCTACATGCTTGGACTTTACTCCTAAATCAGAGATTTGGGGTCTACAGAGGTATGGAAACCCTCCCTCAATCTTGGAGGGTGTATTAGTCTGTTCTCACGCTGCTATAAACAACTGCCTGAGACTAGGTAATTTATAAAGGAAAGCAGTTTAATTGACTCACAGTTCCACAGGGCTGGAGAGGCCTCAGGAAACTTACAATCGTGGTGGAAGGGGAAGTAAACACATCCTTCTTCACATGATAACAGGAAGGAGAAGAATGAGTGGGGGGAAAAGCCCCTTATAAAACCATCAGACCTCAATGAACTTACTATCATGAGAACAGCAGCATGGTGGTAACCGCCCCCATGATCCAATTACCTCCACGGGGTCCCTCCCATGACACATGGGGATTATGGGAACTACAATCTAGATGAGATTTGGGTGGGGACATAGCCAAACCATATCAGAGGGATACACTGAGATACAAGGGGATAAAGCAGATAAAAAGGCAAACTCTAGTCAATTGAATTTCTCATATATCTTTCATTCTAACCCGTTCAGATGTACTAATTTGTCACATGCCATGGTTACTTTTCCCTTTTTAGACTTTCAAGTTGGAAAAAGCTTTTTTCAGATTCAGAAAGATAAAATATCAGCCATGTATTAAATGCATTAAATGTTTTTCTCTCAGCTGCTTTTATTCCAAAATATTTTTTTTTTTTTTTTTTTTTTTTTTAGACGGAGTCTCGCTCTGTCGCCCAGGCCGGACTGCGGACTGCAGTGGCGCAATCTCGGCTCACTGCAAGCTCCGCTTCCCGGGTTCACGCCATTCTCCTGCCTCAGCCTCCCGAGTAGCTGGGACTACAGGCGCCCGCCACCGCGCCCGGCTAATTTTTTGTATTTTTAGTAGAGACGGGGTTTCACCTTGTTAGCCAGGATGGTCTCGATCTCCTGACCTCATGATCCACCCGCCTCGGCCTCCCAAAGTGCTGGGATTACAGGCGTGAGCCACCGCGCCCGGCCTCCAAAATATTTTCTTAAGGGTCACTGACAATCTTGCAAGGATGTAAATGACAAGCTGTATTTGTTTGTTGACATTATCTATCAAAGAGGCTTCTAAACACTTTTGTGTTTCTGATGTGAATAAAGGAAATACAACATTGAATAATAATCCAGGCAGGTTGCAGGTGGCATAAGGCTTCAGAACTCCACCATAGAAATGAACGTGATTGGAAATGCAGCAATCAACATTTTGACAGAAAAGTGAATGTTTCAACTGCTTTATGTTCACAAATTGTTTCTATTTTCTTTTTGTATTACAAAATGTAAGCAGTGTGAGTTTGTGTGTATATGTGTGTGTCTATGTGTGTAAATTCAAAGGTTTATCCTGTAATAAGATAGAATCAGAGATAGACTCCTTGCTATTCTCAGGTTATTTTTTCCTTGTTCACATTTTTTTACACTTGAGTAAAATACTTCTGCAAGACATATTGGAATAGTTTTGTGACTAAATCCTAGAATTTGCAAAATAGTGAATCACAATATAATGTTTCCTTTGGATACTATTTTGGCCATACTTGGTTGGCTTTCTGGAAGTATGAAGTGGAGGTTTCCCAGTGACACCTGTAGCAGTGCTTCTCAGGGACATAGAAAGACACCAAATTCTCTTATACTGGGATTCATCCAGGTGACCAGCATTTGCTTTGCAACAATCATCTGTGGTGATTGCTCAAGTGTAGAAGGGTTTTCAAGAACTCCATCATGGAGTTTTGTAGTGGCAGATTAGCTGTCCTCTACTTCTCCTGGAGTGGCTGGGATTCTTCAACACCAAAAGAGGCATTGAGTCTTTCTTAATTGGCTTCAGTCAGAGAGGGTGGGGATATGTGAAACTTCTCAGTCTGATCTGTTCTTCAGCTCCTCAGAAAAGTTCTACAGCTACTCCAGATCTGTTTCGATAAAGGGGCGGTGGTGCAATGAAATTATTCATAACAGCCCACTTTAGAGGTCTGCCTGAAAAAGGTGGAGTATTTTTAATAGTAGATGTGTTGAGTGTCTTATCCATATCCTTTTTACCGAGGCTGGTGCACCCAGCCCTTGAGATGCCGAGTACATTATGTTGCATTCCTCCCAGGGGTGGCACACAGGCAATGACTGACTCGTATGAGGGTGTAAACGTGCAGCTCCCTTGCCTCTAGGTGGGATGTGGGATCTATGCCAGCACTGTCCAGGATAAAGTCATTAAATCTAGAAAGTTTACATGGATTCAATGAATTCCTCTATTCGAAGTCTTACTATGTTTAATAGCAAAACAAAATAGTTACCTAATGCAGTTCAATACATTTTGATATGTTGTTATGATGAAGAAACATGAAAATTCTAAAAATGCCCATTTGTTGATTACAGAGCAATTAAGTTTTAAATGATTCAAGTGAGTCTAGGAATGTAAATCTTAACCATTGCAGAAGTGAATTAAACATGTTTAGAGAAATCACAATTAGTCAAAAAAGGTAAGGTAGATTATTCTACCTTACCACAGGGCTCAACAGGGAACTCCACAGGGATCAAGCTCATCTAGATGCCAAATCTTTGCCAGCTCCTTCCTCTGCCCCATCCTACATCTCTCACTCCCTTACAGGTTTCCCCTAAATGCATTCCCTTAATAAATCATGGGACAATTATTTTCATCTCAGCCTCTGCTTCTGGGAAACCCAGCTAACAATATCGAATATGGAAACATCAAACCCCTGAATATAACCAGGGCTGCCTCTTACTTAAAGACTCATGCGTGAAATGACCTGAAGTGCTTAGAATAATCTACCTTACCTTTTTTGACTAATTGAGATTTCTCTAAACATGTTTAATTCACTTCTGCAATGGTTAAGATTTACATTCCTAGACTCATTCGAATCATTTAAAACTTAATTGCTCTGTAATCAACAAATGGGCATTTTTAGAATTTTCATGTTTCTTCATCATAACATCATATCAAAGTGTATTGAACTGCATTAGGTAACTATTTTGTTTTGCTATTAAACATAGTAAGACTTCAAATAGAGGAATTCATTGAATCCACTTAAATTTTCTAGATTTAATGACTTTATCCTGGACAGTGCTGGCATAGAGATAAACATTTAATTGATAGCTTATTTTATGAAAAATATAACATGGCAAAGGTTTACAGTTCTGTTTAATCTCAGCAGTGGCATGTTAAGAAGACAAACGGAGATTAGGAAACATTTTTTCTAAATAAAATACCTCATTTTATGTGGTACTGATAAGCAGTATTTACAACATGAAATAAATTATTCCTCGTATACTTATTGAATACCTTAAAAGTATGTGCTAGGAGCTGGGAACCCAGAGTAAAATATAGGTCTTGTTCCTAAGAGGATACGTCTATTATGGGGAGATGAAAGGGGGGTTAGGGGCAAGCACAGACTTGTAAATAATCTATGAGTAAACGTCTATACACCAGATTTGCCTAGAGGATGGTGTATTTGCGTGGCAGGACATTGGGTACAGCTTTAGCAGTGAAAAGAGCAAAGTGCAAAGAGAACCTAGAAGAATGCACCACTGGGAGCTGACTATTATTATTTTCATTAAAGGTGAGTATTGCATAACTAAAATATTTCAGCTCAATGACCTAGTTAAATAAATCGTTGTAATAAATAAAAATGTCTTCCTGTCTTTATGTAACTGCTCATTTTGTGAAAAGCATAACTTGGCTGCACACCTTTTTTCCGCCTTCTTCTGATAAATTCTTGGAGTCCAAAAGGTATCTTTCATTTAGTAGATTTTTCAAAATGTTTATATTCATAGCAAGTTCTGGTTTGGGTCAAGCAGGTGGTAGAAATCATAACTGCCTCCAGAAATCAGGAGGGCCCACGCAGTACAGGACTTGGCAGGCCCTGGTGGCCTAAGGTCAGCCAGAGTGCAGATGCAATGCAGCAACTATAGTACCAGCATTATTCTAGAAAGTTCTTACTTCTTGGAAGTACTGACTTGTAAGTAAAAGAGCATTTTAACTTGATCATATTCACTCTGGAGTCTTCTACATCTGAATCTAAAGGGGAACTGTATTCTTCCTGCAAATTTGGGATTCTCTAAATAAAGTTCCAGGGCACCAGAGGTTCCACTGGGTTAGACCTTTGATTTATTTTAATGAAGAGCCCTTCTTCTTTGTTGATGTCTGACAGCACATTCACAGTGATCCAGTCATTTTTGGGGTAAGATAGAAGGAATCCAGGTAGAATACAATATAAAAATGTCTCAAACTAGGCAAGAGAAGAGTCTAGTCCTGTGGTAGGTCATATTTGTCAAAATATTTGCTACCCTCTTAGCTGTTCATCCTCACTGAGCCTCTCTCTTCAAAAGATTATCCTTCATATCCCAACACTGTGAGGCTTGAGCACGTGCTTTGCTTTGAACAATGAAATACAAGGGAAGCAATGTAATCCATTTCTGAGCCAAAAAAATTAAGAGCCATTGAGTGATTCTGCCAGGCAGTCTCCTGGGTCATCTCCAGAATCTGGAGTGCAGAGCCACAGTGACCCATAATGGACATTGTGTAAGCAAGAAATAAGTATTTGTTATTCATAAATTACCAGTGTTTTGGGCTTGTTACTGCAACATTGACCCATTGGTAGAAACAACTCAGCTTCTGGTTAATAGGGTATTATTTTAAAATCCGCTATGAACATTCATGTATAGTAAGTCTTTGTGGATGGACACAGGCTTTCTATTTCTCATAGATAAATTTTGTAAGCAAATGGCAAACTGTTTACAAAGTGGTTCTATGATTTCACTGTCCCACTAGCAGTGTATGAGACTTTCAGTTGCTCCACTTTCTTACTAACACTTTGTATGACAGCATCTTTTTAATTTTAGTCATTCTAATACATGGGTAGTGATATTGCAGTATGGTTTTAATTTGTATTTCCCTAATGACTAATGATGTGAAACACCTTTTCTAGTGCTTATTTGCCATCCCAGTTTCTTATTTGGTAAAGCGTCTGTTTATGCTGATTTTAGGAGAATAGTTTCTTTTCTTATTTTCAGATTTTGAGAGTTGTTGGCTCATATATATAGGCATATATATATATATATGTACACATATCTATATGTACACATATATATGTGTACATATATATTAGCATATATGTGTGTGTGTTTTTCTTAATACAAATCCTTTCTTTAGATATATGATTTTTCAAATATTTTCTCCAAGTCTGTGGCATGTCTTTTCATTCTTATAACACCGTCTTTCAAACAGCATAAATATTTTACTTTTATAAAATCTAGTTATCAATTTGTTCTTTTATGGATTTTGGTGTTTGTGTCATATATATATATAAATATTTGCCTAACTCAAATATTTTATCCTCTTTTTTAATAATTTATTTTTTAGTTTAGGTTTTATGCTTAGGTCTTATAAAAAATATTGAGTCATTCCATCTATGAGCATGGTATATCTCTTCATTTACTTAGTTTTTAAATTTCTTTCAGTATTGCTTTTTAGTTTTCAGTGTATAAATCTTTCATATTTCTTGCACTTAGGAAGGCATTCAGCTCCTTGATCTATGAGTTTAAATTTATTCTCACCAAATTTGAACGTTTTTCAGACATTACGTTCTCAAATATTTTTCTGCCTCTCCCCCTCTTTCAAGGACTCTAATGACTTTTACATTAGACCACTTTTCTGGGAACAAGTTCCAGACTGGAAAAGTGGTCTAATGTAAACGTTGTCTAATGTTCCACTGGGAACAAGTACTGTGTGTAGTGCTGACCATTGTTACCCCGAAATCTTGAAATCTTGTGGGTAGTCTTTCCTCAACCTTGGGAAGTCAGTACTCAAGTGAATACTCACTGGGATCCTGTACAGATCTTCAGAGTTATTGCTCTCTGAAGCTGTTTTCCAATATTCTTTTCTGTGAACTCAAATTGCCTTAATCTTCCTGGATTCTCAGCAATATCTCCTCAACTCAGAATCCCTGGGTTCTCCTTTCCTGTACCAAGGATTGCCAATTCTCACAAGACAATAAGTTGGGTTACGATAGGACTCATCTCATTTGTTTACCTGCACCCCAAGGATCACTGTCCTTTGTTACCTGACATTCTGTGTCTTAAAAACGGTTGTTTTGTATGTTTTGGCTGTTTTTTGTTTGTTCTTTTTTTTGTTTTTTTGTTTTGGTTGTTGTTTCAGGTTGTTGAGGATAATTCTTATCCCTGTTAATCCATTTTGACAGTAAGTAGAAATAACAAAATTCACTTATAAATTAGTATATATATTCTTGGTTCAAGGAGTAATGGGCTAAAGTAATTTTCTCCAAATTGTGTTATTTGTCTTGGCCACATCATTAACTAGCAAACCTACTCAGTTTTAATAAATGGTTGCTTTGCCAACCATTTTTTTTTTTTCAACCAGCCCCTCTCTGTTTTAAAAAGAAAATTAAGCTACCCACTTTCTGTTTACTTACATAGAATTCCACTATTTAGGCTTTTGAAAATAGCCCTTCTGACTTGTAAATAACTTATTTGACTCTGTGTGTGAGTCACTCACTTTTATGTAGCTTGCATTGTTAACTGCATCTTCCAAATTGAATTCTGGTAATGCTGATAAACTGTTCAAATAGGTCTTTTGTATGTTTGCATCAGAGAAAGTTTTATGGGTATGTTTGGTATAATTAAGTGCTTTTTCTCTGTGTGTGTGTGTTTGTGTGTGTGTGTTTTAAATAACATGGCATAATGCTAAATAATCCAAGCAGGAATAATTTGTTTTTATTAAGTCAGATTGCCTTCTGTACATATGTTGGGGAGTAATTTAGTAGGTTATAGTTTCAGTGTAATAAAAAATGGTGGGGTTGGGGCTGGTGGAAATGATGCCTTTCTTCTGTGCCTAAGTGATAATGTAAACATAAGTCAGGAACTAAGAGTATCTGTCTGGGAATATATAATAGGATCAAACCTAAGCACAAATATTCCCAGAGGTAGATTTTTCTTATGCTGATTTAGTTATGAACTGGTAAATTTGTTTTCATGACTCAATTTCTACAAAGCAAACTTTATTATATATATATATGTGTGTGTGTGTGTGTGTGTGTGTGCATTTTTAATGTATGTTCATTTTTTTCTGTTGATTTTTTAAATTATGTTCATTACATAAGTTCCTAACTGATAGCATTCTCATCGTAAACAGGTCAAACTGTTCAGATAAAATAAAATTCCCTTATATCACCTTCTTATCTCCAGCTGATTTCTTTCCCAGAAGGTAATCACTGAAATGAGCTTGGTGTGGGCACCTCTCAATGGGGACCCCAAGATCCCCTTCTGTAACATACCTGCCACTTTTGAGGTTTGAATACTCATGGGCTGCTCTCCCCTTTTCAAATGCCTATCCCTGCACCATGATTTTCTGTTTTAGTCAGTCCTATATGTCATCTATCTTTCACTGATTTCTCTCATTTCTGGTCATCAAGGGCACCCCTTTTTATTCTATCATTTGGCTGAAAAAGTGGCAAACATGAACACTGACTTAAAAAAAATACTCCAAAAATAATTTGAGTTTAGAGCAAAAGCAAATCTATCATTGGTTAAAATTTTTTGTGTAGGTTGTATAACAAATTTAATTTTCATGAATTTCTAAGGTTGTGATTTTACATCATTTGATTTTAGCTAATAGTTTAATTTTATGGTAGGTTTCATTAGAGGAGATAAAAGGCTTTGGTTTGCTTCGTGTCTCTGGAAAATTTATTAAATCTCCATAGTTTTCAGAACCTAGCAAATGGTAAGCTTGTTTCCATTCTAACTTTATGAGATGCTTTGTTTCTTGTAAAGTGAATTTTGAGAGTGCTGTGTGCTTTAGCATCACTGGAAGCTGAACCTCAGGTAGTAGCCCTTACCTTGGTGTATGAGAGTCTGCATGAGTGCTGTGTGCTATAGCATCACTGGAAGCTGAACCTCAGGTAGTAGCCCTTACCTTGGTGTACGAGAGTCTGCATGAGTGCTGTGTGCTATAGCATCACTGGAAGCTGAACCTCAGGTAGTAGCCCTTACCTTGGTGTACGAGAGTCTGCATGAGTGCTGTGTGCTATAGCATCACTGGAAGCCGAACCTCAGGTAGTAGCCCTTACCTTGGTGTATGAGAGTCTGCATGAGTGCTGTGTGCTATAGCATCACTGGAAGCCGAACCTCAGGTAGTAGTCCTTACCTTGGTGTATGAGAGTCTGCATGAGTGCTGTGTGCTATAGCATCACTGGAAGCTGAACCTCAGGTAGTAGCCCTTACCTTGGTGTATGAGAGTCTGCATGAGTGCTGTGTGCTTTAGCATCATTGGAAGGTGAACCTCAGGTAGCAGTCCTTACCTTGGTGTATGAGAGTCTGCATTTCCACCTTCGAAGATTCTGAAAAGGAATTAAAAAGTAGTGTCTTGAATATTGGATAAACTTAAGATTACAAGAAAACATTCTGGAACATGACTTTCCTCCCGCTTTTGAAGTTTTTCACTTCTTTTTCTCTAGATCTTTTTATAGATGTTCAGAGGCATTTTAGGTTGAATTATTATGTGTTTAAGGAATTCTAAGATAATAATTACCAGGAAATTAACTCAAATTACATAATCATGTATTCGAGATAAGATACGTTGTATTGTTGTGGTAGGCAAAAATGCCATGACCCAGCAGAATATTTTAAAATTAGCAATGTATTTTAAATACTTGAACGCTCTCTTTCATTTCAGAAGCTAGCCTGCACTTAAGTCAGAAAACAAAAGCTAACTGCCACAGTGAATGAAATACTTTAGGAAGAGAGGAGAGAAAAACAGGCTTTTCTCATTCTGTAATTCTGAGTGTTCTTTAAATGTGTCAGAATATTTGCTTTGTCCATTTTCTGTGTCAATTTCTACTTCTTTCTTCTTGCTCAGAAAGTTTCATAATGCTCCCTCTAACATAATTAAGTCATTTATCTTTCCTCCCTCTCTTGCTGTTTACTTCCTTGCTTCCTTCCTTCTCTACCACTTCTAGTTTACATAGTAAGGGACTTCTTTGGCTTTTGGGTAGTAATTTAAGCTCCAAATTTCAGTTTCATGTTATGTAAAACACAAATGATACTTACCGTATTTCACATGGTTGTTATGTTGAGGACTGAGCCGCATTATGTGAGAAGGCTAAACATCATGTCCTTAATACTGAATATATGTTCTTTTCCCCTTTTCCCCTTTTCTTTCTTCTTTGCTGTCCCACTCTGAGACTCCTTTCTTCCAACTCTGAGATGTAGTTTTAAATCTTTTATGAAAAAAAAAAACCTTATGGAGAAAGGGAGAAGAGGTGGATTCATGAGCAGGAGGAGAATGATAACTGAACTTTTGGCATCAGCATTTACTATGGCTAGTCACCATTTTAAGCCTGTCACTAAATGAAGTTATATTCATTTAGTCTCATTACAATTCTATGAAAGTGCTATCATTATGTCTATTTTATACTTAAGGAAGCAAAGTCTTAGATTAAGGCAAGATCACATAGCCAGTAAGTAATGGGGTCAAAATGCAGACCTTAACATTTTGGCTTCAGACTCTGTACTTTGAGTTCAGCCGGTGTTTGTGGACTTTGCCTTACCTTCCTTTCTTTTTTTTTTTTTTTTTTTTTTTTTTTGAGACGGAGTCTCGCTGTGTCGCCCAGGATGGGGTGCAGTGGTGCCATCTCGGCTCACTGAAAGCTCCACCTCCCGGGTTCACGCCATTCTCCTGCCTCAGCTTCCTGAGTAGCTGGGACTACAGGCGCCCGCCACCATGGCCGGCTAATTTTTTGTATTTTTAGTAGAGACGGGGTTTCACCCTGTTAGCCAAGATAGTCTGGATCTCCTGACCTCGTGATCCGCCTGCCTTGGCCTTCCGAAGTGCTGGGATTACAGGCGTGAGCCACCGCGCCTGGCCGATTTACCTTCCTTACTTAACCAATCATGCCACTAGCTTGCACTGGCCTCAATACCCAACGTTTTTCCTACCTTAGGGACCTTTTCCTACCGTGGGGCCTTTGTATTCTCTATTCCATCCTTTCTGCAATTTTTCCAGATCTTTCCAGCTCAGCAAAATTGCCATCTCTCCACATTGCCTTCTTCACTCTATTCAAAGTAACGAAGGGTACTTCCCCCAAAGCAACTGATGTTCCCGTGGCTTGCTTTATTAATCACAATAGGACATGATCTTCTACATTAGGTTTTCCTCCATGTTTTCTGGCAGCCTCTGAAGGATATGAGCCATAACAGAGCATAGACATTGCTTTTTTCTTTGTAGCTTAATCTCCAGTGCCTAGTATCATTCCCAGCATATAATATGTTTAATGTGAACTGAATGAGAAAACTAAATGAGAGGCTTAATTTTATACAGCAGTGAAGGTATGTCCCAGACTTATAATTTAAGGAGAACTTACTCTCTAGAAATGTGGAGTAGCTGGACGTGGTGGCTCAAGCCTGTAATCCAAGCACTTCGGGAGGCCGAGGTGGGTGGATGACTTGAGCCCAGAAGTTCGAGACCAGCCTCGGCAACATGGCAAGACCCCATCTCTGCAAAAAAAAAAAAAAAAAAAATACAAAAATTAGCCAGGCAGGGGATGCGCCTGTAGTCCCAGCTACTCAGGAGACTGAGGTGGGAGGATCACTTGAGCCTGGGAGATGGAGGCTGCATTAAGCAGTGATCGCGCCACTGCGCCCCAGAGAGAGAGGGAGATGCAGGGTAATTGATTTGTACCTTTACTTTGAAATGTTTAATAATTAGTGATTTTCTCAGTCCTCTCTTTTTCTCATGGGCCCCTTTAGTAAATGCTGATGGACAAGATTCACAGGCCATACTTTAAAGCCATTGATGGAGGTAGATTTTCTTCCCAGGGTGCTTTTTTGGCATGGAGTTGGCTAAGAATGTCCTTAAAGGCCATCATACATAGGTGGAAAGTAGAAATCAGTTCAAAGAAAGACTGGCAGAGCAGATCATAAGTCAATACATGAATCAAGTTGGCCTGTATCCTACCAAGTACAATCTTTTGTTTAGTGGTGTATCTACTACCACACTCTCAAACTCCTAATGATACTTTAAAATTAACCTTCATGCTCATTTTTATAATAATGTTGAAGGTCAGGCAAGAGATAATATCCTCACTTTACAGGTGGAGGAACTGAGTCAAAGAAGTACAGGACTTGTATAAAGAAAAGCTAGTCTATATGATGTCTCTAAATCCTGGGTCTGAACTACTTTAACGATATTAAAAGCTTGCTTGACATAAAATTTTAAGACTGTTACGATTAGAGTGAATGTCAGTGATATATGTGTCTAAGGAATTTGATAAATATACATGAGATGCTCTAATGAATTCAATTGCTTGGAAGTGAAGGGGAAAATGCACAAATTTTTACTTAGGCTCATGCTTTTCATGTAGAAACAAACATTGAAATTTGGAAGTGAAAAATCTACCTCTTATCTTGGGTATATATGCTGCCTATATATATGCATATAGTAAGATGTTTAAGTTTTTAAAATTAACTGCATTGTTGAGTATTTGAAATACACATCTGTTATTTGTTATTGAACTTTAAAATGATATATGAGGATTTAGGTAAATACTGTCTGTCTAAAATTAATTTTGGAAAGTAACTCATAAGATGATATTTTCAATACAGTTTTGCCAGCAATTATTAAATATGTTTCGAGAAGAAAATTGCTATTCAAATTACCCATCTCATCCTTGGCACTTTCTAAAAACCAGACAAATATTTTTTAGTTTGTGAAGGCTGCTCATAACAGTTACAAGCTAATTAATTATAAAAGATTTAGCCATGCATTTGACCATAAAATAGATTGGTTGTGGCTGCTGGATTATAGTTTTAGATGATTTTATGATCCATGTATTGCCTTGACTTACTGATGATTTAAATGATTGTGTGTGGGTGATTTAAAAAGCAATAAGATTAATAAAATATTTATTTTGGGTAAAGGTACAGAATATGTTTTGAATAAATAAAGTATGGAAAAGGTATCTAAATTCCTCATACATTTTTAAAATCAGTTAATAAATAGTAAACATGCAAGAAGCTCATTAACTATAGAAATTTAGCCTATTAATTAGGGAGTGTTCATTTTTAACCACTATGTTCATTTTCTAGTCTAGTACATAATATTTTTCACAAGTCTTCAGAACCTCATTTTTCCTTTTATATAATAATGACTCTCCAAATATCTTTTTGTTTCTTGGTCATTATTTATCTTTTAATAAGACAATAAAACCAATAATAAAAGTGTATTCCTATAGCCAATAGCCAAGAATCAAAATATGCCTTTATGGGTTTTTCTTTTCTTTTCTTTTTGAGATAGAGTCTTGCTCTGTTGCCAGGCTGGAGTGCAGTGGCACGATCTCAGCTCACTGCAATCGCTGCCTCCCAGGATAAAGTGATTCACCTGCCCTAGCCTCCCAAGTAACTGGAATTACAGGCACGTGCCACCACGCCCGGGTAATTTTTTGTATTTCAGTAAGATGGAGTTTCACCATGTTGGCCAAGATGGTCTCGATCTCCTGACCTCATGATCTGCCTGCCTCGGCCTCCCAAAGTTCTGGGATTACAGGCGTGAGCCACCACGCCCGACCACCTTTATGTTATTTTATTTAACCTTCAAATAATTATATAAAATTGATATTATTTCTTTACTCCACCAATGCTTATTGGGCAACTAACAACTATGAACCCTTCTGAGAATTTGGGGTACAGTGGCAAAATAAAGTTGTCAAAGGGCCCTGTCCCCTTGGGGATCACAATCTCAAGGCGGCGGGGAACATCCGGAAATAAGATAGTTATAGTTGGTGATGCATTACCAGAGACATGTGATGCCATAATAGTGACTAACCCAAGGACAGTGAGTTAGCTTTTGTTGCATAAATTACCCCCAAAATTTAGTGGCTTAAGACAACTCTTTGTTTAGGCTCATGTTTCGGCTATTTGAAATTTGGGGTAGGCCCAGCTAGCTGTTTCTGCTGATGTACGTCAGACTAAGTTCAGTTAGAGGAACTTATAGGAGAGCTGTGAACTTCCAGATGAGTCGAAGACAGGCTGAGGGTATCCTCAACTGAGATGGCTTATTTCTGTGTCACATGGTGGTGGTAGGGATCCCAAGTACAGCACGGGTCATTAGTAAAGCAGACGTTCTGGCCTTCATTTCATTCTTTTGAGTGTATGCTGTATAAAAATTGACCAAATTATCCACAAATCTTCCTGTACCACTTGTCAAGGTTGAAAACCCAAGAAAAAATAAGATTCTTTCTATCACTGGAGTGATATTACTGAGCTTTTCAGAGTCTATTCTCATGCCAAGATGTATGTTTGTTAAATTTTGAGCCGGATGTGGTTTTCATTCAGAAAGTATTTGATGATGACTTCTCAAGCAAGGAATAACTATAATAGCTTATGTGCTTTTGGGATATTTTAGGTAAGGGTGAAAATAATAATTCTGAGAAACATACAAGTATTGCTTTTTTCTTCACATTCCCTAATTTTCTTCTTTTGTACATTCCACGGAACAATGCCTTCTCATATATTCACCTGACGTGTTGAACATCAATATAGGATTGAATGAAGCAAAACCTTATGTATGAGTTACACTGGAGAAAATCAAATAACTATATATTTTTTTCTGGCATTAGAAAGTCAGAAAGATATACAGAATTAGTGCCAATGACTGTATCAGTTGTTCAATGAAGAGAAGATAAAGAGGTCATATAGCAGAGAATTGTATTTGTATACTCTTGTCTATAAAATTTAGAACATTTTGGTTGTTGTTTAAATTTATATAAGCTTGTTTTATTCTTGGTATATGTGCCAATATCTACCCTTTAAAATCCATGCCATTCAGGTAGCTCAAAGGATATACTCAACTCTGACATTTGTAATAAGTGAATAGGCTAACTTGCTGCAATTTGATAAAAACAGAAGCACACATTAAGTTAAATATTTGTGGAGATTTGGGTGTGATTCACAAAACTTTTCTCTCATTTTATTTTTCATTAATTCATTCAACCAATGCATACTAGAAGTGTATTATTTGTTAGGCATTGTTTTCGGTGCAGGGAACACTGATAAATAAACAGGTAATGTTACTGCTGCCTTTGAGCTTCTAGTCTATTAAACATTAGATGGACAAGTCAGTCTTTCTACTTTTTAGAAACAACCAGCAGATAATATTTGTTAACAAAAGTCATGATGTAAGGAATTTACTAAAGGAATTCAGAAAAGATTACATATTTTTCTGGTTACATAATATAAGAAATTTACTGAAAGATTATAGAAAAGATTATGACTAAACTGTATCCAGTATTTTAGTGATTTGTTTAGCAGATTATTAATTTAGGTAAAGGTCATTTTGATTGGAAACATCTATCAAATCAGTCCATGAGGTAAAAGAAAGCAAAAGAAAGCAGAGTCTAACAAAGGAGACAGAACATTTTAATAAGAGATACCTTTAAATTATATTTTATACCATACGAATTGGTCTCTTTGTTTGAGAATTCAAATATTTTACAGCCAATACCACATACATTTACATTCGGATTCTATATACTCTTCTAGTTTCTAGTTATATACAGATATTTCAGATAATAAGAACCAAATCTTGCCTCAAATGCTAACATCGTGGATGACAACATAGAGCCTACTGTAATCCATTATGATATGAGCAATGATGGTAGGTTTGACAGCTGCATAGGGATCACAGGAGAAACTGTACCTGAGCTGTACCTGTATCAAACAACTACATAATTTTTTCTGTCATTGGGAAGTCAGAAAGATATACAGAATCAGTGCCATACCTGAGAGTTCAACTGTGTGCAAATAGCTCACACCGTCTCTAAGTGTTTTATTTCTATAATAAGAAAGGTAAGATTTACCAAACTCTTTCTTCTTTATTTTTATTATACATCCTTTATTAGTGATTACTAGCCCATGCTCAAATGTTAGCTTGCCTCGAATCAAATCCTAGAGTCACTCTTAATTATTTTTATGGTATTAGGTAAGTGATTTCACCTCCCTAAGACATAGTTTCTTCTTCCATAATATGAGATTTATGAGGAAGGTCCTAACTTGTAGTAGGGTGGTCAGGAGGCTTAAGTGAAATCATAGCTAAAACAGTTAACAATTCCTGAAACCACACAAGTACACTGGATATCCTGACTATTGGTACTTGTATTCATACTTGCATTTATAATACGCATTTCTCAGATACCCCAACAGTTCATATCCAGACACCCCCAATGGATACACCTGAGACTGATACCAGGTCATCATTTTTCGTTCTCATGCTGCCAGCTACACAAGAGGCACGCACTGTGGATCCACAGACGAAACAGACAGAGGCTATGTTCCATTCAAGACCTGGAACAGATGATCCCTTTTCCACGACAAGGACCAACCTCTGCCAAAACAAATCACTTGGCACAATTTCTAACTCTAAATTAATGTCTTCACTTATTTGCTTAATAACTCCCTCCATCCTCGCTGTCAGATCAGGCTAGGAGAGACTCCATTGGATGAGCAGTAGACTGCTCTTCCCCAGGTGCCTAGCACAGTGCCTGATGCACCACACGCTCTCAGTGTGTGCTTGTTGAAGAAACAAAGACACAGTCTGCCCTTTTCATTGAAAGCAGTGCCCCAAGGCAGCGGGTCCAATCCAGGTCACCTCCATTGTGCCTTCCCATGAGGGCTTGCTCAACCCTCTCCCACCTCCTGTGGCCACCTCTCTAGAGAAGCTTCTTCCAGCTTGCCAGACAGTCTAGCTTGGAATGCTGAACAGCATCCCTGGTCCTTCTGAATTTTCTAGCTGGGGAAGCAAAATGTCAGTCTATGATTAATCCCACACAATAGGTGGTAAGAAACATACCGATGCCATATCTTGGCCTGAGGCACAACTCTTCTATGGAGTTGAGTTTCCTGTAAATTCGTGGCTGTTGATTGTTAGTGTGCAGTCTTAAGGCCTTAACATGTATTTATAAACAGTCTTCTTTTTAAAAGTGCAGGAGCAGTGTATATAGTATGCGGTATGCCACTATTTTTTTTAAAAAAGATATATCGCATATATATATATATATATATATATATATATATATATATATATATATATATATGACTTTTTCTTGCTTGTATTATCCCTATGTTTTATTTTATTCTCCAAAGTTGATATTGTTTTCTTCTAAGGAATGCAATTCCAAAAAAACAAATATTGAAACCAATAAAGACATAAAATTTATGGTTAATAGCTTCATTTCATTTGTTAAATGTAATTAACGTATCTTTTTATTACTAAGATTATTTACCATTTTAATGTATATAATGACTATTGCATTAGATTTTATTTTTAAAATGCTGTTACGCAAACTTAAAACCAAAATTACCAGTGTTCTATGGGACAGCTCTAAATACAGTATAGCTATTAAAAATATATATTCTTAAAGTGTGCTAGGAAGAAAAAACACTTGACATGAACTATTCTGACATTTAAATCTTCTCTTATTCTTGTCAGCACTGCCACAGCAAATGATAAAGGTGGTATTAATAGCCATATAATTTTCTGAAATTTTTGTAACATTTTTTAACTCACAAGGCAGCTGGACATGTTTACAGCTTGAAATCTTTTATTGCATTATTTGTAAGATATTAATATATGGATATCATATATGAAGGAAATAAAATGCATAATTATTTTCTGGCACATTGACTTGCATTTAATTAAATAGTTTTTTCCTACTTAAGTTCATCTATCTATCGAACATTTCTATGTTCTAGTTATTCTTTGAACAACTGCCTTCTTATAGATAAGAAAATTTTCGGTTTGCTGATTGGTAAATTGGTAGTTACTCCTCCATTTTTGGTTCTTGTTAGTTTTCTAACACTAGGTTCAAACTCTTGAAGAAAATATTTTGTTCTGCATGCACCTTTGCAGAATTCTTCGAAAATTTGCTGGCAGAATAGTTGTAGAAAACCCCAATTACAGATAATAATTTTGCCATTTTCCTGATGACCCCTAGAGAGGAATAAATTTGCAAAATTAGTTTAATTTTGTTTTACTCCTGTGTCTTGTGCTTTCTCATTTCCTTTCCTCAAGTTATAGAAAATACATAAGCCCAGTACAGATTCAGTCCCCTCTTCCACTCTACTCTGGCCAGTCACCTCTCTTCATCAATCCTGGGGATGACTAAAGAGAAGTAGGGAATATATGATCCTTCCACTGACCAGCTATGTGCAGGGACATTTGGCAACTGAGTTGACCTTTATCTGGACAATGATAGAATGAGAACCCCTCTTAGAGGTTAATGTGAAGATCAAATTAGTTAATAGAAGGGAAGACACTTTGGAAAGTGAACCACAAAGGCCACCAGTAGGAGTAGAATACTAGGAAATGATCTTTCTAAATGCCAATCTGGTCAAGTGCTTCCTGCAGCCTGTCTCCAACAATACAAAGTATCCAAGCTCCTTAGAATGGCATTCAGATCTCTAAGGATAGCTGATGGCTTCTTGGACTGCCCTTTGATTCCTAAGAGATACTGCCCATGGTTTTTCCTTTCCTCAAATTCCTGGTAAGACACCTCTGTCTTCCTTCTACACACTATTCAATACCGTCTTCTCTTTGACATGACCTTTTCCTTCCACCTCTTTTCACTTCTCTCTTACTTGCAGGGTTAGGAGACACCTGCTATGTGAGTGTATGTAAACCATACTTCACAGAGCAAGCCTTAAAAAAATACCAGCTTTCATCCTTTTTCCTTCCCTTCCTATTAAACCCTATACAGTCATATGTACAATGTATTGAATAAGTATGGTGAGAAAAGAAAGTGATATATTTGTATTTCTTGTACAGTCTTCTACAAATCTCTGAAATTAGACATGACTGTGATTTTTTTTTAAAATAAGTGGATGTTAGGATCTGGGCTAATAGGGTTGGGGGTCTGAGGGAGACTTTTCATTGTATACATTGATTTGATCTTTTGAATTTTTAATCATGGGAATATATTTCTCATGTCAATATTAAGTAACATAAATAAAAATTTAGTATAAAATTTTAAGTCTAGAAAAGTCGAATGTAAAAGTTTCATTCACTCGCCTAATATCTAAATTATGTGACTTACAAGCATATGGTGGAGAAAAGAATATGGCTCCCATTATCAATATTTCCTCCCTTCCCCTTGTCCTATTTCTCCTCCATTACTCAGTAGAACACTCTGACATCCTTAGGGTTGAAGCAGAGGTGGAGAGGAGAGTTAAGGAGCATAAAGATTTTACTTGAAAGGCATTGGTTTAATCAGTTTTTGGCAGCTGAGCTTGACAGAAAAACAATGTATTTCTCAGTCTGGCTATGGTCCCATTGCAGATCAAGAGGGGGCTGTGCTCTGTGTCACCTCCACTCTAAGGCCCAGTGACGGAGCCTGCACCGTTTCTAATGTTTCCGGTTACTGTGGCAGAAGGAAAAAGCATATGACGAATCACACACTGGCTCTTCAAATGTCTGCCCAGAAGTGACACAGTCCCCTTGAGCTATAAGTTCCTGGTCAAAACAAACAACATGGCCACACCTAACTTCGAAGTGGGCAGAGACATGCAGTGACCCATGTATCTAAAAATACTAAAAATAATGGTAAATAGCACTGATAAATATTTTCTGAAAAATATAAATCAAGAGTGGAATTCCTTTTAATTTTTCATTTAGTTATAGTTTGGGCTGTGAGATGGTTGTGTTACACATGAAATTCACATAATTAGAAAACTATAGGTGAGTATGCTTTAACCCCCTGCCCCAACTTCCTCCTCTTTCTTTGTTCTTGTTTTCTTCCCCTCCTCTTTCGCTTATATTTTCCTCTGACCTCACCCTAAAAACACAGTTTAACCTACAAGGTACCAGAATACCAAACCAAACCAACCAAACAAAAACAACAACAAAAATTGGGTGCCCTCTGGAATGTTTGGCTCCAAAAAAAATATTGAAATCTATAGCACCACTGAAATGTCTAATATTACCAATGTGGCATTAATAAATGGACAGTCGTGCTCTTTTGTAGCTTTTCTCTCTGGAAGGAAGATATTGGATAGTTTTTGTTTTTTAGAGACAAGGTCTTACTTTGTCACACAGGCTGAAGTTCAGTGGAACGACATTGGCTTATTGCAGCTTGACCTCCTGGGCTCAAGTAATCCTTCTACCTCAACCTCTAGAGTAGCTAGGACTACATCACCAAGCCGGGCTACTTATTTTGAAAGTTTTGGTAGAGATGGGCTCTTGCTATGTTGTCCAGGATGGTCTCAAACTCCTGGCCTCAGCAATCCTCCTGGAGGCCTTGATATCCAAAAGTGCTGGGATTACATGTGTGAGCCCCTGTACCTAGCCAGATAGTTCTTACTGTGACAAGGGGACAAGAAGCCTTTTCTCAGGGAGGACCAATGGCAATTCTTTTTACCCCACACTCTCAACAATGATTCTTCCAGGACCATTTCCATTTCTTCAGTCTATTGCCTCCTTTCTCATTGAGTGGCGAGCACTCTTGAGACCCAGCAGTTTGCTCTATCTCAACCCACTGTGACAAATAGGTAAACATAGGCTGGGATGTAAGGAATGGATAATGGATACTGGTTTTAGTTACCCCACCAGAGACATTTTAAGTTAATGCAATTGATGAGTAAAGCAACATGTATGGTTCTCTCTCACCAGGAGAGGAAAGGAATAGAAAGAATAGAGAAATATAGCCTACTAGTCAGTTTGGTGTTTGTTCCAAAATAAACCCTAAAATCTTTGCAGAGGCAAATTGCTTATTACTGTACCGTCAAGTGAAATGCTCCATGAAATATGTTCTGTTTTGCTAGACGTGTTTGGACAATTTCCTGAAACTGTTAAACTGCTCAATGGTATTAACTCTTCTCCAACAGGCCATTAGAAATTTTAGCATTTAAAAGAGAGAAGAGGGAAAATACAGTTGGCTCAGTTGAGAAGCAATCTCTTGGAGCTGGTAATTATGTCACATCTGTTTGGAGAAACAAGTTGGCCTTTAAGAGAGTGAATGGGGTAACAATTTAATTAAAGATGGGTTAGATTGCATGGAAATTACTTGCTATTATTATTGGAGGAATCTATCAAAATGGACCACTGGGAAAGCACTGTTTTCACTGTTTCTTGAGGAAATTGTTCTTGGCATAACAGTAGAATTTAACTTCCTTTTCTGAATGTAAGTTTCAGCCCTGCTGTATGGAGGAGTGAGATCATTGCATAGGGTCTGTGCACTTCCCCAGTTTCTGTTTTCTTCCTTTCTTACTCAGATGCTGTTCTTTTATAACTTTGTTTAACATAACACTTGAGCCAACATGGTATGATCTGGTTTGTGGTCGCTTTCTTTGGTTTGCAAGAATTTTGGAAGGTATTATTTGCGTTTAAAACAAACTATTTGCCTATTGGCCATCTGGCCAGTAATTCCAGCATAGAATTCTAAGCTCTGTGAACTTGAACCTAACTCAATTGAACTTGCTAATCTAATAATAAGTCTATTGCCCCACCTCAATATTACCAGTGGGATGGTAGAAGGTTTTATAAGCACCTCAGTTTTTTTCTCAGTGTGAAATCATCTATATCAATCTTTTTGGTGCTGTACCCTATACTGAACATGGAAATTCCACCATTTAACGTGCTAAACAGCTAGCAAAGAACTATTCCATAGATATTGAACTTGAAAACTATACATTTTAATAAGCCAAAGTACATCAGGAAAAATCAGAGCTTTAATGAAGCTACAATTGTAGATATGTTAAAAAAGACACCAAGTTCATTGTAAATGAATTTCCATTTGTTGGTTGATTATTTATAGGGTGAATTGCCAAAAAAGATAGAGTTAAATAATCAGTCCATCTAACTGACCTTAACTAATGTAAAATTACTTTCTGTAAGCCCAGGTTAGTTATAAAAAGATTGACCCTTTACCGCAGTTTATCTGATATAATCTCAGATTAATTAATCTTGATTAGTTTGTTATTTGCCTCAGATTTTTAATTTTAAAAGGATATTATTGGAATTGTACTTTTTAAAATAGTTTTAATAAAAATATTACATAGGTCTATTCATATAATAAAACTATAGTAGAACCTTGAACAAAATAGAGGTGAGGAGAGCTGACTCTTTACATAGTCAAAAATCCACTTATAACTCTTGACTCCCTAAAAACTTAATGACTAAGAGCCTACTGTTGACCAGGAGCCTTACCAATAACATAGTCAATTAACACATATTTTGTATGCTATGTATTGTATACTGTATTCTTACAATAAAGTAAGGTAGAGAAAATAAAATGCTACTAAGAAAATTGCAAGGAAGAGAAAATATATTTACTATTAGTTAAGTGGAAGTGGATCATCATAAAGGTCTTCATCCTGTTTGTCATCACGTTGAGTAGGCCATGGAGGAGGGGGCATGGGAGGACTTGGTCTTACTGTCTCAGGGATGGCAAAGGCAGAAGAAAATCAGAATATAAGTTAATCTTGCAACTCAAACTCATGATTTTCAAGGATCAACTGTAATTTCTTAGTAATAAACCCTTTAGTCTCACAAGTGTCATGATTTGAACAACAAATTGTATGGTCACGTTGGTCACCCTAGGTAGAAATTTGCTGATTTCAGCAAATTGGAAGTTACTGCATGATTGTCAGGATCTGAGAAAGCAACTGAGAAGTAATAGTTACAATAAGTTACAAACCTTTTAGGACGGTGAACATTTTAAGGCGTATGTTTTCTCCATGTGTCACAACCAACAGTAAACAAAGATCAAAATCATGGTAGAAAAGCAGGATTTAATGGACATCAGAGAAATTGCAGATCTGGAATACAAGGCAATAAAAATTTACAACAAGGAAGTGGTAAGCCAGAGAGAGCTGCTTCATGGTGGTAGGCCCAGGGGGATTGGAGAGAGTGGTGCCAGAAAGTTGGATAGAAAAGTTAATGCAACAATTATAAAGAAGATAAGAACGTAGTATTTGAAAATAAATATTTTAACAAGATAAATATAATACAAAAAATGGAATAAGAAAAATACATTATTATCGAATATTCTGTATTGAGTTTTGGAAGTTTATGTGTCTCCTTTTCTAATGCCATGATTTTGCAATGCATTATTGTTAGTAATTTTTAGGTCTGCCTATCCAAATTAGGCTTTTGCAGCATCTAACACCCTCCACCCTAGCTCACTTGGTGGGTGAGCCTCCAATGACTACACCCAAGGAGGATTTAACACAGGGATTTTATGACTTGCAACAAGTCAGGAGGACATGGGGTTGGGGTAGTTCAGCAGTGCCTGTCTGAACAAAGGTGAAAATTGGGCTTTTATTGGGCTGATCAAGGGGGAGTAAAGGCAGCCAGGAGCAGTCGCCTGTCATGCTTCTACCTATATTGCATGTATAGAAAAGGGAAAATAAACTCCTTCCTGGGCAGGGTTTTAGTATGCTAAGGAGGGGAGTTATTCAACTTCAATCCAACTCAAGCATCAGCATTGCTGCGTCCATCCCAGTTTTGTTTTGCTGGGGCTGAACTTCTTCCTATAACTTTTTGAAACAACAAGAACTCAAGGTGTGACAGTTACAAGTGGGCCCTTTTTCACAGTGTGTACCTAAACACGTGAGGACCCTGGATTACAGAATGACAGACTCGAAGTGACTCAAGTTCCGGTTGTTCATCTTTAGATGGTAAAGATGGCTGTACGTACTATCCTTGCTTATTTCCAATCTATTGTTTAAACTCTTGTATATGTAATACCGCAGAGGCTAGAGATACAACCTTTGACCAAATGAGTGAATTCAAGTAATCCATTACTAATGTGATCTGGAAACAAACATGGTGTTGAATGTGCATATGTCAGTTCTATGTTGGGAGTTCACTATAAGTAGGAGTTCTCTAAAAGCACTTCCACGTAGAATGCAATGATTATTTAAAAATAAGTAATAAAAATGTGCAAATTTAAAACATGTATATGCTTTGAATTATATATATATATATGAATTATATTTTACTATGTATACAATGAAAACTGAACAGTAACCTCAGCTATTGTATAAAAGTGAAACCAACAAAAGATTTTTTGGGGAGGAAGATTATTTTACTACTGACATAAAGAATTGCCAGGAAACAATGACAGCAAACACAACCAACTTTTAGTTGCCATTTAAGAAAAATTCTTTCAGATAATGCATTCCTTTATTACTTGAACGGAGGGCAGACCACTCCGTCCATTCTACCCTTGGCACACATCACTTCCTAAACTGTCTTATTGCTTTTAATTGTATATTTTTTCCCTTAATTTCAATTAAAATCTATAATTCATTAGCTGTCAAAACCTGACCTGTTTGAAGTAGTAGCAATTCAACATTAAACCTCGACTAGTGTTGAATAATATTTTGGGGCTTTGTGTTGTATGCTACAGAGTGACCCCCCACAAGTTCCTTGCCCATGTGTGGCTAGACAATGGAAATAGTTCCGTGCTTCAACATGTTCCCCAAACACATTCCACAGGAGAGCGCATCCGAGCATCAATTCTTGTAAGACAACTGGGAAATGAAGTCATAATTTGAGCTGAAGCAAGGAAGATTATTAAATATATTTTCCATGTGCTTTGAAAATATATGCAAAGTAAAGCAATCAGTGCTTGCCACTTTGTTTGTATTCTAAAAGAAAGCTAGTTAAGGTTTTTCATCAAACTGTATTCTTCTTTAGGCTTATAAAGTACCATGAAGAGGAGGTAAAGAGAGAGTGGATATTTCAGTGGCTAAACCCAAAGTTTTTTAGCATTTAGACTATGGCACCCTCTAGAAAAGCAATTTAAAATGTGAAAAAAGAGAGGTCAGTTAAAAAATAGATTAGATAGATAGGTAGATAGATGGATAACAGGTAGGTAGACAGATGATTGATAAAGAGATAGGCAGATCATAGATAGATAGATAGATAGATAGATAGATAGATAGATAGATAGATAGATAGATAGCATGAAGATGGTTGAGGTGACTACACCCTATGCTTCCTTCTGAAGTTTCGGGAATAATTGTTCATTTTCCAAGTGACTGCTCAATACAACATTGCTCTGTTAGGTAATTTAATGACTGGTGTAAGTACAAAAAACATTGCCATCTGCTTTGTTTCTTTTGGCCTTAATTATAATGTTATCTTCTTTTCAGAGGCTATATTGTGAAACACTTATTATTCACCATTATTTCTGGCAGTGATTATAATTTATGACCAACAGTGCAGCACTGAATAATGTCTTGATTGATTGACTGATTAATGTAGATTTTGTAGGTGATAAGGGACAAAAAGCCTGAGAAGATTTTCTGGAAATGTAAAAGTAATTTTATTTTCTACTATGTTTGATGCCCAAAGATCACTGTACTGATAATTTTAGTGAATAAAGTGTCAACTATAACAAGGAGCTTGTTTATTCTATCAACCATGTGATTTCAAAACTGGAGCTTGCTTTCACTTTTGAAATTTTCCATAAGCTAAATCTAATCCTCTATATTTACAACGAAATTAATTTTCTGAGTTATTTATTTTAGGATAACTCTGATCTTTTTCTTTTCTTTTTCTTTTTTTTTTTTTTTTTTTAAGATGGAGTTTCACTCTTGTTGCCCAGACTGGAGTGCAGTGGCGCGATCTTGGCTCACTGCAACCTCTGCCTCCCAGGTTCAAGCGATTCTCCTGCCTCAGCCTCCCAAGAAGCAGGGATTACAGGCATGGGCCACCACGCCCAGCTAATTTTTTTTTTGTATTTTTAGTAGAGGCGAGGTTTCGCCATGTTGGCCAGGCTGGTTTCCAACCCCTGACCACAGGTGATCCGCCCGCCTCGGCCTCCCAAAGTGCTGGGATTACAGGCGTGAGCCACCGTGCCCGGCAACCCTGATCTTTTTCAAACTGCAATTTAAAATTTACTGATCACACAGAACTGAATTGATTTTTAATTGTCATTCTGAAGAAGTAATTAAACTTTAATTACTACTTCTGAAAGAGAGGGTTTTTACTAGGACTTTTTCTGACAGGACAATAATTTCATTTTTTGCAATTTTTATTTATAATTGGCAAATAATGATTACATATGTTTATGGGGTACAATGTGATGCTATGTGTATATATTGTTGAATGATTAGATCAAACTAGTTATCATATCCATCACCTCACACACTAATCATTATTTTGTAGTGAGAACACTTAAAATCTGCACTGTTAGCAATTTTGAAATATATATTATTATTAATTATGGTCACCATGCTGTGCAATAGATCTCAAAAATTATTCCTCCTGTCTAACTGAAACTTTGTACCTTTTGATTAACATCTCTGTCTCAGCCTCTGGTAACCACCATTCTACTCTCTACTTCTGTAAGTTTGATTTTTTTAGATTCCACATATAAGTGAAATCATAACAGTATTTACTTATCTTTCTCTACCTGGCTCATTTCACTTAGCGTAACTTCCTCCAAGTTCATTCATGTTGTTGCAAATGACAGAATTTGCTTCTTTTTTTTAAGGCTGAACAGTGTATATATACATACAAAACATTTCTTTATCCATTCATTAACTGATGAATGGAGATAAATATATATAAAACATTTCTTCATCCATTGATTAACTGATGGACACTTAGGTTGGTTCCATATCTTGCCTGTTGTGAATAATACTTCAAGAACATAGGAGAGTGGATATTTCTTTAACAGTTGATTTCAAATCCTTTGGATATGAACATGGAAATGAGATTGGTGAATTCTAGGGTAATTCTATTTTCAGTTCTTTGAGGCATATCTATACTGTTTTCCCTAATTGGCTATACTAGTTTATATTCCTGCCAACTGTGTACAGGGGTTCCCTTTACTCCACATTCTCGCCAACGTTCGTTATCTTTTGTCTTTTTGATGATAGCCATTCTAACAGGTATGAGCTGATATCTCACTGTTGTTTTAATTTTAATTTCTCTGACAATTAGTGATATTGAGCATTTTTTCATAAACTGGTTGACCATTTGTATATCTACTTTCAAGAAATGTCTATTTAAATTCTTTACCCATTTTTTTAAAAAATTCGATTCTTTGTTTTCTGCTATAAGATTGTTTGAGTTCCTTATATATTTTGGATATTCACTCCTTATCAGATGTGTGGTTTGCAAATATTTTCTCTCGCTCTGGGTTGTCTCTTCAGCACAGAAATGGACAGTCGCACGTTACCACCTGTATGATCATTATTTTAAACACAAGCAGGAAAAGCTTTTGGGTTCCAAAGTTTCAGTCATTATGATTGAAAAACTGCCAAACTGGTAGTGAAACATTTATTGGATTGGGGATTAAGCTATTCATTCTTTTCGCATTAAAACAATGATGTAGTTTTATTCGTAAATCTATAAAGTTAAGTGCACAGTCATCACTTTTAGTACGTTCTGATTCATTGAAATCCTGTAAAATTTTATGGAAAAATCTGTGTAAACAAGCTTTAAATAAGGCAATATTCCAATACCAAAACTCGGGATTTAGGCATAGGTGCTATATTTACAATTCTTAAGTAATTTTCATGTATTTCACATATTTTTAAAACTCATGTTACAAAATAGCCTAATTCTCTTTACTTTCTGTGTATGAGGGAGGAATTAACATTTTGTAATATAAACCTCCCAAAAGTTATTCAGAATATTTCTAAAATAAACTGTTTTAGATTCTTGGAGAAATTCTGTGATGTCAAAATCTCTTTCCTTTTTTTAAACAATAAAAAACATTGTGGCTTTGTTTTTTTAATTGATAAATAATAATTATATACATTTATGGGGTGCATTTATGGGGTGCAATGTATACATATATCAAATTTTACCCCATATTGTACATTGGGTACAATCTGTACCCTCATAATACAAATTGTACCCCAATGTACAATATGGGGAGCAATTTGATACATGTATACATTGTGGAAGGAGTAAATCCGACTAATATATCCATTACCTCACGTACTTATCATTTCTTTGTGGTACAAACATTTCAAATTCATTCTCTTAGCAATTTTGAACTATACGTTATTATTAACTCTAGTCACCTAATGTTTAATGGATCACCAGGAATTATTCCTCTTGTCTAATGGAAACTTTGTACCCTTTGACCATCATCTCCCCTTTTACCTCCCACCCTCTCCCAACGTCTGGTAGCTACCATTCTACTTCCTACCTCTACGAGTTCGAATTTTTAGATTCCACATATAAATGAGATCATGTAATATTTGTCCTTCTGTGCCTGGCTTATTTTACTTAGTATAATGGCTTCATTTTTTTAAAATGTTTAAACCAAAGGTTTCAATACATAAATCTAGACACAAACAAGTACTGTGTGATTCCATTTTTTATAAAGTTCAAGAACAAGCAAAGTTGATCAAAGACAAGAGACAAGAAACTTTCAGTAGTGTTGGACATATTCTTTAATCTTTGTGGAGGCCACACAGGGATATAGATGTGAAGAAATTCACTAAGCTATGCAGTCAGTATTAGAGCCCCTGGATGTACATGTGTTATGCAGTAATGAAGGGCACACACACACTCATTCATTCACACACAGCAAAAGCAATCTATGAAGTGACAACACGACACAGTGAACACTGTTTTCATGGTAAAGTTGCAATAAGACAAATTACATTATTTTTACAGTATAAACAATTATATTCAATTAAATGCACGAAGTGTGCTAGAATATATTGGATAATTCGGAACGAATACCTATACTGCAGGTGCTGAAGCCAAGAGAGAAACATCCCCATTGAAGTATTGTAAGAATTCTGTCCCCCCTGCCAGTTGCTATGAGATATCACTGAAATATGGTAGTGTTTTCTAAAATCTACTGCATGAGGATAGGACAAACATGCTTTCAGTGAAATGATAAAACGCTACCAGAACTAAAAGAAACAAAAGTGGTCAGGTGCAGTGGCTCATGCTTGTAATCCCAGCACTTTGGGAGGCCAAGGCAGAAAGATCGCTTGAGCTCAGGAGTTCAAGACCAGCCTGGGCAAAATAGTAAGACCTCTGTCTCTATTAAAAAAAAAGTTAAAAATAACAACAAAAAATTAGCTGGGCATGGTGGTGTGTGCCTGTAGTCCCAGCTACCAGGAGGCTAAGGTGGGAAGATGGCTTGCCCCAGCAGGTTGAGGCTGCAGTGAGCCAAGATCATGCCACCCCATTCCAGCCTGGACAACACAGTCCCTGTCTCAAAAAAATCAAAAAAGAAGAAGAAGAAAAAGTATTTTAAACCTGTCATTAAGAAGAAAAAAGATGTAATTACACACTTAGGGAGGCCAGAGTGGGCAGATTGCTTGATCCCAGGAGTTTGAAACCAGCCTGGGTGGGCCGGGCATGGTGGCTCACGCCTGTAATTCTAGCACTTTTGGTAGGCCGAGGTGGGCAGATTGCCTGAGCTCAGGAGTTCGAGACCAACCTGGGCAACACGGCGAAACCCTGTCTCTACTAAAAATAGAAAAATTAGCCAGGCGTGGTGGCGTGAGCCTGTAGTCCCAGCTACTCGGGAGGCTGAGGCAGTGGAATCACTTGAACCTGGGAGGCGGAGGTTGTAGTGAGCTGAGATTAGGCCACTACACTCCAGCCTGCGCTGGGCAACAGAGCGAGACTCCATCTCCAAAAAAAAAAAAAAAAAGGAAAAAAGAAACCAGCCTGGGCAACATGGCAAAACTCCATCTCTACAGAAAAATACAAAAAAAAATTAGCAAGGCATGGTGGTGTGCACCTGTAGTCCCAGCTACTCAGAGGCTGAGAAGAAAACAGATTATCTACCGTAATAAAGCAAGAAACCCAATCCCTAAACAATACTGTGCCCCATAGAGTAAAGCCGTTTCATTTCTCTTTTAGTACTTTTTCTACCCTAACAAAGAAAATTGTGGCTAAAAGTTAAAACAAAAACAGTATCTTTTTGCTAGTTTCATGATATATCTTGTATGTATGTATGGGTGAATATTCTTATATTATTATTTTTGGTTCATGTAAAGTAATTTTTCCAAGTGAATATCTAAGACCAATGCTTCTGAAACTTTAATAGTCATACAAATCACCTGAGGATTTTGTTAAAACTAATATTCATCTCCAGGAGTTCAGGGGTTAGGCTAAGATTCTGAGTTTCCAATAAGTACCCAGGTGATAGTAATGCTACTGGCCTACACACTACTCTTTGAGTAATAAGGTCTTAGATTAAAGTGGACTTGGGCCCACTAACATTGATTAGCTTATGACAGGAAGACAAAAAACAAAAACAAAGGAACAAACAAAAACATAGAAGGTAAAATGTTAAAATCAAGGCACAAAGTATTGCTGTATGGAAAGTGTCTGAATTTTCAATATATTCAGCCCTGGAGGAAGAGCTTCCCACTACCACTTATTTACTGTTTCTGTTCTAAACTGGCTATAATAGCCCTTCAATTATAGAGCTGTTTCAGTAATAGCATCTGCTTCATTATAACAGCAGTTTTATTAAACTAATAGTTGTTAGCATGAAGACACCATTACAGTAAATTACATTTATAATTATGGCTCTAAATATACTCAGGTTGCATACAATTATTAAAAATTTCCACCCTAATCATTTACCTTTCCTGAAGCTTTCCTCCTATCACATAGATGCTGTGAGCGTGTGTTAGTGTATGCAGGCTTTTCTATGAGGCTGCTTTCCTATATCCCATACAATTATTCAAACTGATGCCTGGTGTATCTAGAAATTTGTATTCCTAGCTCAGAGAGCAGCTAATTAGAACCTCCTTCCCAATCTCTACTTCCCACAATCTGGGTCATTTCCTTGTTTAGTGCCTTGATCAGAAATAATTTATTGTCTGGTTGTGCATGGCTTTGAGGGAGGCACAATATAAAGAAAAGTTCATATAAGAAATGTGCACATTTAACATCAATGCATAACAAACACCCCAAAGCATAGTGGCTTCAGCTAAAAACTGTCTATCATTGCATTTGGGACAGCTGGGAGTGCTTATCTAGATTTGGCTCAGCTGGGCAGGTTAGTTAAGGTGGCTCTGTTACACAGTGTCTTTATTAGTCTGTTCTCATGCTGCTAATAAAGACATACCCAAGAATGGGTAATTTATAAAGGAAAAAGGTTTAATGGATTCTACATGGCTGGGGAGGCCTCACACTCATGGCAGAAGGCAAAGGAAGAGCAAAGTCACATCTTACATGGCAACAGGCAAGGGGGCGTAAGGAGGGGAACTTCCCATTGTAAAACCATCAGCTCTTGTGAGACTTGTTCACTAACATGAAAATGGCACAGGAAAGACCCTCCCCCCTGATTCAGTTACTTCCCATCAAGCCCCTCCCACAACACGTGGGAATTATGGGAGCTACAATTCTAGAAAGACTTGGTCTGGGACACAGCCAAACCGTATCATCATCTCACATGTCCCCTCTGAGCCCAGGTCCTCCTGGCAGTGACCCAAGCACATGAGAACACATTCAACCATGACAGCACATTTCAAGCCTCCGCTTCATTGCTTCTGATAATATTACTCTGGCCAAAGCCAGTTACATAGTTAAGCTCAACTTGTGTTAATTTTGCCCACAATGAGGCCAAAGCAAGTCACATGGCCAAGATCAACATAAATGGAGCAGAGAAGTGTCATCTCCTATGGAAGTGAACAGAAATGAGTGATCATTTCAGAACAACAACCTACTCTATCAGAGATAGTTTCCCTTTTATACATGTAAGTACAATAATGTTGAAAGTCTCTGAGTTTATTTTCATAACATGCTAAATAGCCACAGTCTTATTTAGCCAAATTACAAACATTGGAATTGCATGGTTTCTTTTAGAATCTAAGGTTTTTATAGAAAATATAACATCATATATATATATATATATATATATATATATATATATATATATATATGTATTCCATTTTGATGCTATATACTACTAGTCAGTCACCTGTAAGAGTTTTTGACTAAAGTTTTCGGCAAGATAGATATAGTTGAGTCATGGTCAAGGTGAAAAGGGTATTCACTCAACAAGAAAACCATCCATCAAAGATTTCCTATGTGCCCTTTGTTACGGCTGTGCAGCTAAGTACAACACAGTTCCAGGCTTTACAGTTCTTAGAGTGTTTACAGACAAATAAGTAAGATGCTCAATATGAGGTGGTAGGTCCTGTGTACTGGGTGTATGCCAGATTTCACAAGGAGTGAGTTTAACCACTGGACAGCAGAGTGGGTGCTAGAGCTGACTCTTGAAGGATCAGAAAAAATTCACCACAATAGAGGGGTTGGGCGTTCCACATATAGAGATGACATTGGGCTGCATTCGGGGAGCCCACAAGTAATGGCATAGAAGTGTTTGTGTCTGATATCCCCTTCCAGACATCCCACAACCTAAAGAGCTAGACACTGAGGGGGCCTGCATGGTGAGCCTAGAGCCAACTCAAGATGCAGGAACAAAACAGAATTTATTGGAACATAGAAAGATATGAAACAACAGTAGTTGCTCTGAGAGGCGTCGTCTACATTTGAAATTGCTGGGTGTTGTGCTGAACCCTTATTAACCCCAATAAGGAAGGCACAAGATTCAAGAAGCCAAAGAAGAGACCCAGAGGCAACAAATGAGACATGGGGTTTTATTAAGGCTCACATACAGGGGAGAGAGGCCAGTGGTGGTGAGCTAAATATGATAACCTCATAGCCCAGTGGCAGTGGGCTGGGCGGGAAAACAGCAACTGCTAGCAATCAGCATGCACTTTATATAGCATTTCCACTTAACACCCTCCCCCAGTGACCTCCACCTGGCAACCTTCATATTGTAACCTAAAACTCTGGGCCTCAATCCCCTGTACGGCCTGTGTTCCACAGGACTGAATAGGATGGGACCGGGGCTCAGATGTTCCTCATGGACAAGGAATGAATCTCTGGATTGGCTACTCCTGGATTCCCTAGTTCAGAACATACATTCAGGTGCTATACAAGGTCATTCTAAGGTTATGCTTAAGTTATTGCTGTCAGGTATGTTTATCCTACACCAGGTTGATAAGACAATGATGTCATCAGTCAGAGCCACATAAACTTGACAGCCATTAAAAGTTTATCTTCCTGGCTAGGCGTGGTGGCTCACACCTGTAATCCTAGCACTTTGGGAGGCTGAGGCAGGTGGATCATGAGATCAAGAGATCAAGACCATCCTGGCCAACATGGTGAAACCCCGTCTCTACTAAAAATACAAAATTTAGCTGGGCTTGGTGGCATGCGCCTGTAGTCCCAGCTACTCAGGAGGCTGAGGCAGGAGAATCGCTTGAACCCAGGAGGCGGAGGTTGCAGTGAGCCAAGATCGCACCACTGCACACCAGCCTGGTGACAGAGGGAGACTCTGTCTCAAAAAAAAAAAAATTATCCTATTTTATTTGTTTTTAAGATAGGTTCTCGCTCTGTCACCCAGGCTGGAGTGCAGTAGCAATATCATAACTTACTTGTCTTCATTGACTAATGAATCCCAACATGCTGAGTTTGATTGTCACCTTTTCTCTCCCAGCTTCAGCAATACTATATGTTTAGAATTATAGAATTTTTTCACAGCTCACAAAGGAGCCTCTCAGGGGTGGGATGTAGGATAGGACTGAAGAAAGAAAACCCTACTGGGGAGAAAATATCAAGTGGAGACTGAGTATTCATTTCTACTCTTTGCTAAAGAGTAGTTAATGTACTCACAGTTTATGTTCAGAACATTGTCAGTTTCAGAGAAAGATTTCATTAGTTCATTAGTTTATCTATAAATTTATCCATCCTGTACTTATTGGGCATCTACTACAGCAGCAGTCCCCAGCATTTTTGGCACCAGAGATGGGTTTCATGAAAGACAATTTTTCCATGGACCAGGGCAGCAGGTTGGGAGGGCTGATGGTTTCAGGATGATTCGAGTGCATTAAATTTATTGTGCACTTTATTTTATTATTACATTATAGTCTATAATGAAATACTTATACAACTCACCATAATGTAGAATCAATGGGAACCCTAAGCTTGTTTTCCTGCAACTAGATGGTCCCATCTGGGGGTGATGGAAGACAGTGAAAGATCATCAGGTGTTAGATTCTCATAAGGAGCATGCAAAGTAGATCCCTTGCATGCAAAGTTCCCAGTGGGGTTCTTGCTCCTATAAGAATCTAATGCTGGGGCCAATCTGACAGGAGGCAGAGCTCAGGTGGTGATGGGAGCAAGGGGGAGCGGCTGTAAATACAGATGAAGCTTCACTTGCTTGCCTGCTGCTCACCTCCTGCTGTGCAGCCTGGTTCTTAGCAGGCCACAGACTGATAGCGGTCCATGGCTCAGGGGTTGGGGACTCCTGTACTACAGCATGCCAGACAAAATGCCCACTGAGGTTGGAAATGAAGCGAAAACAGACACACTCCTTGCTTTCTCGGTAGCTTACAGACTGGAGAGTAAGAAGGGCATTCCTACAGTGGTGAATACTATAGAGGAGTAGTAGACAACGTGTGTGAGTGCATTTAGTATGGAGCTGGGAGACATTTATGGGAGGAAAGATAAGGAAAAACTTCTCCGATGAAGGGACTTTAATCTGACATCAGAAAGAAGAGTAGTAGCAAACTAGGTAAACAAGGATGGGGATGAGGAAGTAGGAGGTACAAAATACAAAACGAAACAAAGCACAGAATATCTCCCAGAACAAAGCCCTCTTCATCCTGCCTGCTCTCTCTCCCCCATAGTGATTGACAGTTTGAGGAAGGGGGTTATTCTTAGGGATCAGAATATTTTTGTATAACTGCTTCCATTTTGTATAATTGCCTAGTTTCCCAGGGTAAATAAAGGCAGGAGACACATTCAGGGCCAAATACAGAACTCTATATTCTTACTTGAGAAACACACCAAAATGATATGCAAATATTACTATGTAGTATTTATGTCTTCCTTCTCTCCCCAAAATTCCCATGTGAAAATAAATTTTCTATGACCTATATACTGTCATTTTGCTTAATCATTTTAAGGCAATATGAGGACATCATGTATTAAATCCTGGAGAATTCTTAGTTTTCAGATTTCTTGTTGGATATTTCCTGATCAATAATGTGCAAAGGGAGATGATATTTGGGCCAGAACCATCAGTTTAAGCGTCTCTATATTATAAGAAATTCTGACTCAGGCTACTTAATGTAGTTTCTTTTTTAAAGCATGAATGCTTTAAAGTTCATGTTTTAGTCAAGAAGGAATTGCATTTTCTCAAACCTGGCAGGCCCAGAAAAAAGCTACTTAGAAAATCACACTTAGGTGACAGAATGATAAGAAAAGTCCCTTTAGGGGCCATTAGCACTTTGCCTGAAGAAAAACTGTTAGTGGTTCTTCCTAGCTTTTTAACTTACAGAAGCAGCACTGTTGGAAAGCTCTTGGTAAAAACAACAGAAGTAAAGCAGTTTATTTTGGAATCTCATGTTAGGAATTCCAGAATATCCCATTGGTTAATTTTAAGTTAGAGTCCTTATTATTGCAATTTCCATCATAATAGACATATTATATTTGTAATAGGTGGTGGGACAAAGACTAGAGTTTGGATATATCATAGAAATCTATATACCAAACTTTCATTAACTATTTTGCCAGTTAACCATGGCCAACTGATTTTTTTTTCTTTGTTCACCTCCTCCATAAAGTTAGATCTAAGATTCAAGTAACAACCTATGCACCTTTTTCTAACAGTACTTTATTAAAGTACAATTTACCTTTAGTAAAATGCACAAATGTTAAATGTACATCACACAGAACTTTAACAAATATACAAACTCATCTAACATCCAGATCAAGATATGGAATGTCACCCCAAAAATTCCATGTTGCCCTATTTTAGCTAACCACTCCACGACTAAAGGCAACTGCTATCCAATTTCTGTGGGTATAAATAACTTTTATTTCTTTTCAACTTCATATCAGTAGGACCATACAGTATGTAGTCTTTGGGGTCTGGCTTCTTTTACTCAAAATCTGTGCATTTTGAGGATTTCTGAAATATTAAGGATAGCCCAGGGCTTCTGCAAATGTCAGATGGACATACAACTCAATTTATATAAACACTGTGGGAAGTAAGCTAATATTTGTTAACCTGAAAGTTTCTGATTATCATGAAATGTCCCTAGGCAGGGACTATGTTGTTAGCTACACAATATCTAAGAAAACTATCCTAAGACAAATTAAATATAGAAATAAAATCACAGGCAATAGCAGATATATCTAAGCTTCTTATAGATAAGCTCATCCCAAGTACTCTTGAGGTGCAAAAAGAAAAGGCTAATTATAAATTATTCTTATCCATTTATTGAGGCTGTTCCCTTAAGGGCTAATTCTAGGTAATGCTTCATTAACCTTGTATCAGTTACTTGTTCTTGAATTTCAAAAATTCATTTTTTCCATAATTTTTATTAATTCAGTGAGGCCCTCCTTCTCATTTGTACAAATTAGTAAGATGTCAACCTACATGTGGAGTTCTGGAGATTCATCTTAAGACTTATAAAAGGGAAAAAAAAAAAAGAATAAGTAAAGGTATTGAGGGCCTACTACGTGCTGATGGCCAAGGTACTTTCACCTACATTAACAAATCAAATCATTTCAATAGGCCCTGTAGGGTGGCTCATGTCTGTAATCCCAGCACTTTGAGATGCTCAGGTGGGTGGATGGCTTGAGCCCAGGAGTTCAAGAACAGCCTGGGCAACATGGAGAAAACCAGTCTCTATAAAAAGTAGCAAAAATTAGCTGGGTGTGGTGGTGTGTGCCTTCCTCCCAGTTACTTGGGAGGCTGAGGTGGGAGAATCACTTAAGCTCAGGAAGTTGAGGCTGCAGTGAATTGTGATGGAGTGAGACTGCCTAAAAAAAATCCTTTCAATAAATTATGATTCACAGAATCCAATACATCCAATGATCCAATGGAATGCTAGTTCAAATACATTGGTACTTAAGCATGGACTGCATTCTAAAAGTTCACCTCTAACTCAGCTATTTTATCATAGAAACACAGATATATAACTAAACACCACTTTTTCAAGAAAAGGTAAAATTGTGAATTGCATTTCAACCACACAGAAACCAAACAAAGTTCGGGAGTGCAAACTATATTCTCCTTCTTTCTTAACATCAGATTTTTCCATTGTAGCAAATGTGATTAGGCAGGGCCTTGACTAAATCACTAGAACAGTGAGTGCTGACACTAAAGCTGGAAGCTAAAAATGCCTCCAGAAGATTGTCCTTGAGAGCCAAGAGTCACCTTCTCCTGTGATAGGCAGTCTGCTACTATCCCCATGCACCCTAAAGCTGGTATGCAAGGACTCTCTAATCCTGTGGTATGAAAATTCAGTCGCCTCACCTCAAGGCTAGACAGATACAGAGATGCAATGTAGGATCTGGAGCTCCCCTTGGATTGAACACACATCTTGCTTCCCTTCTTCCCTTACAAGCGTTTCCTGAGAGCCCTTCTTCAATAAATCATTTTCTAAGAATCTCTGTTACCTCCCCATCTCAGGCTCTGCTTCTAGGGGAAACCAATTTAATACACCCATTTTATCTATGACATCATCCTCATTCTGGCCTGTGGTTACGCTAACAATTTATCTTCTCCTGGAGTCCACTAAGAAGGACAAAAGCCATTCAGAATAGACCAATAAAATTCAAAGCCTAGTCTTCTTCCAGCACCCTATGATCTACACTTTCTCCCCAACTGACACACGTGGTCAAGCAGAATGCAACGCCCTTTTCTTGGAACCCAGAAAAGACAAATTAAGGAAAATGAGTTTGGAACAATGAAACAGTCTCCTGTGCAAATAAAGCAGACACTACCATTTTAAGTATGAATAATTGGAAAACAAGGCATTGAATAGTCTTAATTACAATAAGTATACGAAGCTTGCATTAGTCTTAATTACAATAAATATAAGAAGTTTTAAAACTAAGTGTTCTAAGCCACAAAAAAGTAAAATATGTCCTTGTTTGTACATTATTTCAAACATAGGAGGATAATTAAGATAAGAATGTGAAATAAAGGCTTATCTTTATTTAAGACTAATTTGTTGAGGCAAGAAAGTTGGTGGGGTGGGATGAGGCCCCTGCTTCTCAAATAAGGAAATCTTAAATTAAATCAATGCCAGTCAATTGCTGGGACATTTTAGTCAAACTGGGTGTAATGTGCTGGTTAAGCTATCAAATAAAATGTTGGCCATAGAGCATGATTCGTGGTCCTCAATGGAATCGGCAGTTGAGGATGAGATTGCTGTAGATGCTCATCATCCTCTACAGAAGTGATGAACTGAGAGCTTGTATCTTTGAAAGGGTCATATAATCCTTGGACAAAGGGGGTAGTAGGCCTGTTATCCCTGCTGCCTTTATTCATCCACCCATCTAAACAACCCTCCCCTCAGTGTTTACTGAATGCCAACTCTGTGCCAGGAACTAGTCTAGACACTAGGGATATAGTAGAAAGAGAATGTATACGGCTCAGGAAGTTGTGATTTAGTGAGGATTCAAAAGAAAGATTAGCAAGTCTTTGGAGCAAAAATTAGAGTCAAGAGGAAGTTTTGCAAATGATCCTGATCATAACAAATATGTGTGTGTGTGTGTGTGTGTGTGTGTGTGTATGGAGAGAGACGACAACAAATATATATATATTTGGCTCTCTCTCTCTCTCTCTCTCTCTCTCTCTCTATATATATATATATATATATATATGGAGAGAGACAACACCTCCAAAGAAAAGAGAAAAAAAGGAAAGCACATGACCGTGAACGAATCTAGCAGTATGAGAATTTGATTGAAAGTCTCAGGGAAGACCTGAGATATAGTGAATAGTTGGCCACAGATATGGTGTTAGTAGCAGACATCAGTTGGGTTACTGAACAACACTTTTAAACCCACTAAAAGGGGACAAATGGAATTTACTCAGAGCTTAGTATATTAAGGTTACTCAGATCATTGCGCATTGGGAGGGAAGAAGATGCTTGTGCATTGTCAGAGTTGAAAACTAGAGACTGTGTGCCTGAGAAATGCCCAGTGAGACACAGAGGAAGCAACTCCACGGATGCAGAAACCATGCCACCCAGAGGCCTGCATGGGGAGCGTGTGTTGTATGGAATCAACTGGGCGGAGTTAATACGTGAAATTTCACATTAACTAATTAATTAATTGGTTAATCAACTGATTGATTTTAAAATACCAAAAAGCTTCCAACAATCATTTCAAAATTTGATATATATGTTGAAAAATACAGCAACAAAACAAAGTATAAAATACAAACAAAATCTTAATTTATTTCAATGCTATGTATTAAAAGCCTTCATATCCAAAAAATAGCAAGATTGTTATTAAATACATTTACATACTCTAGTCAAAACTATAATATTCTATAAACTAACATTAGAGAAGATGCTTGAAGAAAAATAAACATTTAAAATACACCCATATGGCTTTAGGAATTCAGAAAATTCAATAAATCATGAAAAAAATGAACCTCCTGGGTTTTGTTTTGTTTTTTCCTTTGAGGGAGGGGAGGGGAACACTATGAGTTTTCTCTTTCTTTTTATTTTTTCAGTTTCTTTCTACAGGATACCTAAGCCTAGGTCAATTGTTTTTAATAACTTCGTTTTGCTAATCGGTCATGGCACTTGTTTCTCTCCTTAAATGCAAATTAGGATGAGAATAACCTTGTAAACGTGTCTTTGTCTTCTCAAGGTCATGTTTGGCCAACAGTATCAGTCAGGGTTTCTTTTTCCTTTTTTAAGCAGGCAGCCATGTTCTGATTAAATATTTATAAGTCTAGTTGAGTAAAGTTAAACGGAGCAGATGAGGCAATTAAGAAGTAAAACCAAGTGTCAAACTGCAGGGTCTCCTTAAATGATGCAAGACCTTGGGATCCTGACACTTTTCATTGACACTCTTTGTAAGCCAGAGTTGTTTTGTTTGTATGAAAAGTGGCAGTGCTGTCTAAGATTTACTGATCCCTGTTTAGAAGTCATCTAAAAATAATATCTGAGTAACTCAAACCCTCTCCATTTTCCCCAGAAATAGTTTTACTGTAGGGGTGAGATGTAGGAGAGGGAGGGAGCGTCTGTGTACTGCCACAGCTGGGAACATTACTGCACCTACTTCCTAGTGCCTTGCAGGCATCTTTGGGACTTGCTAAGAACCTTTGGAGAAGTGTAAGCAGAGGTTAATTGTTCAACCACCTGCTTTTAGAAAGATATAAATTTTATATATGTAAAATAATTTTTAAAATCATGATTAATAGCCTATATCCCTTCAGTTACTTTTACAAAGCCTTCCAATGTCCAGAAGGAAACTGCTGACAGTGACATTTATGGAGAAGGGGGAAAAAAAAAGTAATTTTTCAACTCAAATTGAAGGGCAGTGGATAGAGAGGGGAACATAAATTCATTATAAAATATCTTCTTAACCCATATATATAGCCAAAAAAAAAAAGGAGCTAATTGCAGACCAATTATGGAAAAAACCTGACCTTGGGAGAAAGGCATGCTATTTATTTATAATCAGTATTAAGGATTTAGAAGCATTTTCAAGGTTTGCATTTATTTGGGGTTGAAATGTCATAAATATCTGTCAGCATGGCAATATTCTAGTTAATTTGATTTTGGTGTTGATAAGGCCAAGTTCAAATAATCAATCTCAATTAGGCTGATTAATTTCACACTAAAAAACTGTACTGAGGGGACACAATTTACTTAAACCCTAATTGACCGTGTTGTGCCTTTGGGCACAGAGAGATCTTAAAAAGGAGAAATCAGGGAAATCACTATACACAAACACTGGAAAAACTGACTTAATTTTCTTGTTTTTACCAACAATTGGTTGTGTTGTTGTCAAATGGATAAAGTAGAACTTTAAAGAAAAATCAACTTTGTGCAGTCTCTTAAAAATACCTGAATGAAATGAAATAAAATTCATAAAATTCTATCCAACAATTGAAAAAAACAGCTTTTTTTTTTTTTGCTTGGAGGCTAGAGGATGATGATGAGTAGCTCTATTCTGTTAGCTCTTTCTGTAGCTCTATTCTGTTAAATTGTCATGACATTTGTTCAGCTCCTAAAAAATGAAAATTGGGATTGAAAATCAATTTTTAGTATTTTTTTTCCAAAGCATCAGCATACTTGAAGCCTGTGTTACTATGAATGGTTACCCTTAAAATGAAAGAATAGTTGTTACTTTTGGAGCGGGATAGTAACCAGGATAGGGCATATGAGTGGCTTATGAAACACACTAAATATCCTATATCATGATCAGCGGTGGAGATACCTGAGTATGTTAATTTTGTGAAACCTCATTGATTTACACGCTAATGATTTATGCACATACAATTTTACTTCCTTGATACTCTAATTTTTTAAGTTGTAAAAAGGAATTTATATTTAAAAAAAGGTTGGACTCCTATGTTCATTTCTATAAATGAAGCTGTCACACAGACCTGAAATTTTATTTGAGCACTGGCTCTATCATTTTCTTTTGATGATGATGTTTCTTTGATGTATGCATTTTTATCAAATATATCTAATTTGATGTTTCTTTGATGCATTTTTACCTAGCTTTTAACTGGGACCTGGTTTCTGTAGTGTAAAAATCTATTTGCAATTTCTAGTGTATTATACTATTTAATGCCTTCTTCTCATTTGGAACTAGAAAATCACTTGGGTTAAATGGTGTCCAGCTGCCTTCAGAGATAAGCCCTGGCTTTGACTTATTAATACATTTCCATCGGCCTTTCCTGGTAATAAACATTCTTACTGTCCTCCAATATGGTAAAATATTTAGCGTAAGAGTAGTCTTGGCTCACAGTATAGTTGTTGAATCCATGCTGTTTTTCAGTCATTGGCTGCTCTGTTCATTACATTCTATACAATTTTGTATACTGATGTCTTGGGGTTTTAATTGAATTTTAATGAAAAAATGGCCCGGATTAGCAGTAATATGGCCAGCTGTGGGCTGCAATGTTAATATGCACCTACTGTTTCAATTTGCTGGTAAAGCTGATAATGACTGAAGAGGGCAGCTAATGCAAAAAACTATGCCTGGCAATTACATCAAGTCAGGTTTTCACCCCTCATCTTTAGCAGCTTGCCTCCAGCTTTTAATAAAGAGCAGAGCAAAACAGGGCCAGTTCAAGCATCCTCTGATGTTTGTTTAGACTTTTCTCTGTTGACTGAGCATTTGTAATTTTAAAGGTCTGGTCTCTAGTGTAGTTATGGGCAGTGGTGTCAGACACATCTGGGTGATGCCAGACACACTTGAGTATGCATTCTTCAGCCATACTAGCCCTGTAAGATTTAGTAAGGTAATTTTATATCTTTTAGCTTCAGATTTCTTATACAGAAAAATGGGTATAATTGTATCTTTTTCTTGGATTATTAAAAAGATTAAATGAAATTATGGATATAAATTCCTTAAATAGCACCTAGTATCCATTTCTGAGCTCACCAAATGGTGACCATTATTTTTGTTAAATATGCTTCAGGTTTTCCCCATCAATATCAAAAATTAAGATTGGACTTGGAATAAAAGTTCTATTTTATATTTTAAATCTTACAAATGAAAATAAATAAACAGCATGGATTCAATAACTATACTGCGAGTCAAGACTACTCTTATTACACTGAATGTTTTACCATATTGGAAGACAGTAAGAATGTTGGTTGCCCAGGGAAGGCCAATGGAAAGGCAAGTCAAAGCCAGGGCTAGTAAAGTATATGATTTCACTTATATGAAGTATAAACACAAGTACAATCATTTTATGGGATTAATGTCAAAATAGTAGTTCCTTTTGTGAGGCATAGTACAGTCTGGAAGAAGCAGAAGGGTTTCCAAGATGCTGAAAATGTTCCATTTCTTCATCTGGGCCATAGTTGTTGTATTTTATATACGTAAAAATTCATCAAGCTGTAAACTTAAGATCTATGCACATTATTGTAATTATGTTACAACTCAATAAAAAGGAAAGGGCTTAGCAACAATTTTTTTAATTAATTGAAAAAATAAACTAGCACAGACCTTTGGGAAATTAAAAAGTCATAACAGTGCTCAGTAATCCCACCCCTAGTTTCTCTATTGAATATTCTGATAGCAGAACTATTCCAGTAACAGATAAAATATTATGTATATGGAGGTGTTCAATGCAGCATTTCCTATTTTAGAAAAGCGACACTGAAAACAATATAAAATAAATGTCTAATAATGTGGTAACAATGACGTAATTGATGATGCATCAATTCCAAAATTATGCAGTCATCAAGAATAACTACATTATGTAAAATGGTGCAGCCACTTTAGAGGGCTCTTTGGCAGTGTCTTATAAAACTAAACATACCTCAGCCCTATGACTCAGCAATTCCACTTCTGCATTTCTACCAATGTAAATGAAGACATATGAATCCACACAATGACTTTTACATCAATGTTCATAACAGCTTTATTCATAACAGCCAAAAACTGAAAGCAATCTAAATGTCTATCAATAGGACAATGGATGAAGAAATGATGATGTATTCATACAGTGCAGTAAAACTCAGGAATATAATAACATGAATAGATCTAAAAAAAGTTGAATGAAAGAAGCCAGACACAAAAGTTATTCCATTCATAACAGGTTACATTCTAAGTTATTCCATTCATACGAGGTTCTAGAAGGGGCAAATTAGTCTGTGGTGACAGATATTAGAACAGTGATTTACCTCTAGTGGGAAGGTCAGGAACTGGCTTGTGATGAAGATACTCTATCTTCTTTGGCAGGATCTACAGCAGCCATCATATGACACTGAGGATCTGCCCAGTAAAAATGTAAAAGTTTCAGTCCTAAAATTGTTGAGCTGGTGAACCAATGCCGGGATTTCCGTAACTCTTACATAAAAGAAAGTAAAGCCTTATTTGTTCAATCCATTATAGCTGGTAACATTCTGTAAAAGAGGACGCAAAAGGCACCCATGACCAATACTAGATAATACGTATTCAATCATTAGACCCTTTTATGAAAACAAGGGGCGAAAAGTGCTGCGACAATTCCCAGAGAAATTGAAATGGATATTTCCTATATAATGCTAAAAGAGCATCAGATATGAAGTAAGAGGGTGTGAGGAGAAGCTGCTAACTACATAATGCTTCAACAGTGAAAAAAACAGTTCTACACAATAACCTTCTAACGATTCCTCATTGTGGACGGGTAGGTGGTTTGTACTTCCAGTCCCTTCAGTATCAGATGTTTATCATATATCAAAATCACACACTTGATGTTTTTCCTTTGTACTGAAATTTTTAACTTGTTTTCATTCTATTTCAAGAAATATTGATGAATCATTTTGAATTATGCTGTTATGAAGACATTCATGTAAATCTGTAGTAACATCATAATTGTATTTAATTATGTATCCATTTATCATTTTCCAAAAGATTAAACCATGCACAAAAATACCCCTCTGTGTTCTTTACGGCAGTATTAATAGTTGCATATACCTAGGAGAAAAAGGCAATTTAAATTTTCTCCCATGTTATTTTAGATGTATTTTACTCCTCCTCCTCAAAGTGGGTATGAACAGCAACACTTCCCCCAGAACCTCTCGCATATGCTCAAGGAACATTTGCAGGGATTTTATATAGTCCGTCCTCTCTTTGGATATGTTTTTAAAAATAAGGAAAAGTTTCATCTTTTAAGGAAGTGCCTTTTATTGACATTCAACTAGTTACTGACAGATTTTTACTGTTCAGTCTCTTAAAAGGGTTTGAAGGAATGAGAACTGGGTAGTTGTGTTGCTGGTCATTTTAACGTTATTTTATTTATTTTCTCAGTAGTTAATATACAAGCATTGTACTGCAGTCACAAAATTCAGAAGGAGGAAATAAGCTAGTCTCCCTCACACCCTCCTTCTCCAGCCATCCTGTGCCCTTCCCCAGATGTAATATTTTCAAATAGTTTAACGTACGTTTCTGTGCTGATTACTTTTTTTGCTATTTCCAACAATGTTGCTATGAATATTCTTGTCATTGCCCCCAAGTGCACATGATTTCAAGAGTTCTGTAACTCTTGGAGTATAACAAGGACTAGAATTTTTGCATTGTATGCTATGAGTATTTTCAGCCTAGCTATGTATAATTAGTTACTGTTTTCCAGATAGTTCTCATTTATCTTCCCATCAGGAGTGGAGGAGAGCTGTGTGGCTCCACATCCTTGCTCATAACTGTCAGTGTCAAGCTTTTCAATCTGGTGTGTATGAAATCATATTTCACTGTGATTAAAATGTGAATGTTCTGGACTAACAAAGTTGAGCATCTTTTCGGATGTTTATTCAGGTTTTCACTTCTATGAAGTATCTTTTCAAGTGTTCTGCACATTTGTTTTTCTCTGTTGAGTTTCTTGGATTTTTTCTTATTGACTCATAAAGCATCTCTCATATGCTTTGGATGTAGGTATTTGTCAGTTATATTTTTAAATGCCTAAATTGGATGCAGCATTCCCTAACTTCAAGTCTGTCTTATTTTCTAAAGTAAATATTTAAGACCATTTCTTCTTAAGTCTTAACTACATCTTACAAGCTTTGATACCTAATATATTTGCTATAATCTACTTGTTAATACAGTCTGATTTCCATTATTTCTCCTTTGATCCATGAATTGTTTAGAAGTATGTTTTTGTATCTATAAAAAAAGGAGTATTCCTTGTAACTTTTTGATTATTTATTTAAACTACATTGCATTATAATCAAAGAATATGTTCAGCATGATACCAATACTTCAAAATTTGATAAGATTAGCTTTATTACTAAAATGTGGTTAGGTTTTACGAATGCCCACATGTACTTCGACATGTATATTCTCCACTCAATCAAAATAGTACATTGCACTTTTCAACTATTATATGTCTTTACTGTTGGCCTACAATCACAAGAGTCTGATTTGTCCATTATTAATGAACACTTTCAGTTTTTATATTCAAGCATTTGGTTTGATCCAGGTTTATTTTTATATAAAGTGTGAAACTAAGTTCAGGCTGTTTTTTTCCCCAGATTCCAGTTGTAACAATAGTTTTTATTGAATAATTATCTTTTTCATTACCAATTTGTTTTGTCAAGTTTGCTACATACCAAATTGTCTTATTTTTATTTACTTATGGATTTTTATTTTATTTCATTAATCTATTCATGCAAGAATGGGACATTTTTATTAGGTGACAGTAATGAAAATTTAAACTAGGTTTTGATGCAGTGATATACTGATGGACCCAAGGTAGAAAATTAAACTAGATTTAGAAGAGAGAATTTAGAAAAATGAATAGGGTCATGGTCTTTTTTGTCTAAAGGAGAGTGTGTGAATAATAAGTGGAAATGAAAAACCTCAGCAGAGGGAAGTACACATTGTTAACAATTATTCAGACCCATGTAACAAAAGACCGTAATTCTCTGCTCTGTAAAAGAATTATATTAAAGAGACAAATGTCACACTAAATGATACTTGCAGGACTTACACAGGTCTCTAGAGAAAAGAGTGAGTATAATTAGTACATGTGTTATGATGTTTTGATTCTAGTCCAAACCAACTAGATTAAATACATTTACTTTTTGAACAAAAATGGCAAGACATAATTATTACAATTGGAATGTGATAGTAATATATATAATATGTATATCTTAGTGTGTGTGTATTTATATATGTATGTATGCATTCCTTGTGCCTAAAACACTTCCTGCTAGGAAATTAAGCCAGCCTTCTATATTTGTACTCACAATCTATCCTCCAAGATATGTAGAGTTGATAAAAATTAATGCTTGCCTACAAAATTTCAGCAATGCTTCTCCTATCTCTGTACCTCCCCTCTGTATACATTTGAAAAATTAATCCTGACCATCCCAGGAGGTAGAAAGGAAAGGGTGGTAAAATAAATAGTTCCTTGAGATTTTATAAATTCATCCAGATTAAAATATATATATATATGTATATGCACACTTGTCTTGAAAAAGTTGTGATGATGTTATATATCAGAAATAAAAAATTGTTTCCACTCATCCAAAAGTTTAGGACTCACAAATTTTTTTCAAGCAGAAATAATTTTGTTTCATAAATTTGGTTTAATTTCTTTTGATTACATAAAAAACTAGAAATGGAAATTTATGTATATAGCAATGTAAAAATGATAGTGAGTTTAATGCTAAAATCTGATCTACTGGGCTCTGTTTAACCTAATACCCAAAGCTTAAGTAATGGTTAAGTTGGGGTTTAGAGGGGCCTATTACCTTCTTCAGGGCATTGGTATTTTGTTTCCTACCTTAATCTAAAATTAGTGTCTTATTTGCCAGTCTAATATATTTTACAATCAATCTACATTGCCTACCTTTTGGAGTATTTCTATTTAAATAAAACAAAATGAGCGTTTAAACTGGGAACGTATTAGATTCTTCTGAGCTATTGAGCAGTATCAGATCCTTCAGCAAGAAAGCTGTTTTATCATTTACTAAGTACCTAGGCACAGCATCACCTTGCCCGTTAAAAGCCCTGTCAGGTACACATTTTGGTTGCTAGGCAGCTGCTGGGGAAGCAATCTCTTCCACACATATGGTTTATGCCACCTGGCCTGCATTTCACACCAACCTCCCCAAACTTCCCAGGGAGTTGCAAGAGAGGTCCTCATGTTCCTGTCTTCACTTTCCATTTCCCTGTCATAAGCACTCCATTTGTTGTCAGCTTTCATTAAGGACATTTCCAGGAGCTAAATATGGTAGATTTCTATTAACTGATTCTAAAGATTCACATTAAACAGAAATAGAGCAAAACCATAAAGCCATCTGTGGAATTTGAGAGTATGGAGGGGAATATATTAAGATTAAAAGATAATCCCGGTTACACTTCCATTTTCATGACATTTGATAAAAACACTTTGGAGGAAGGAGAAGAAATGGGCCAGTGAGAGGGAGGAAGAAGAAAGAGACCTGGAAAGGAAAAAAGGCAGGAAGGCAGATGGAAGGAGAGGTACAGAAGGATGAATGGAAGGAGGAAATGCAATTTTTTTTCTTCCTTTTTATTTTATTTTATTTTATTATTATGATACTTTAAGTTGTAGGGTACATGTGCACAATGTACAGGTTAGTTACATATGTATACATGTGCCATGCTGGTGTGCTGCACCCATTAACTCATCATTTAGCATTAGGTATATCTCCTAATGCTATCCCTCCCCCCTCCCCCTACCCCACAATAGTCCCCAGAGTGTGATGTTCCCCTTCCTGTGTCCATGTGTTCTCATTGTTCAATTCCCACCTATGAGTGAGAACATGCGGTGTTTGGTTTTTTGTCCTTGCGACAGTTTACTGAGAATGATGATTTCCAATTTCATCCATGTCCCCAAAAAGGACATGAACTCATCATTTTTTATGGCTGCATAGCATTCCATGGTGTATATGTGCCACATTTTCTTAATCCAGTCTATCATTGTTGGACATTTGGGTTGGTTCCAAGTCTTTGCTATTGTGAATAATGCCGCAATAAACATACGTGTGCATGTGTCTTTATAGCAGCATGATTTATATTCCTTTGGGTATATACCCAGTAATGGGATGGCTGGGTCAAATGGTATTTCTAGTTCTAGATCCCTGAGAAATCGCCACACTGACTTCCACAATGGTTGAACTAGTTTACAGTCCCACCAACAGTGTAAAAATGTTCCTATTTCTCCACATCCTCTCCAGCACCTGTTGTTTCCTGACTGTTTAATGATTGCCATTCTAACTGGTGTGAGATGGTATCTCATTGTGGTTTTGATTTACATTTCTCTGATGGCCAGTGATGGTGAGCATTTTTTCATGTGTTTTTTGGCTGCATAAATGTCTTCTTTTGAGAAGTGTCTGTTCGTGTCCTTCACCCACTTTTTGATGGGGTTGTTTGTTTTTTTCTTGTAAATTTGTTTGAGTTCATTGTAGATTCTGGATATTAGCCCTTTGTCAGATGAGTAGGTTGCGGAAATTTTCTCCCATTTTGTAGGTTGCCTGTTCACTCTGATGGTAGTTTCTTTTGCTGTGCAGAAGCTCTTTAGTTTAATTAGATCCGATTTGTCAATTTTGTCTTTTGTTGACATTGCTTTTGGTGTTTTAGACATGAAGTCCTTGCCCATGCCTATGTCCTGAATGGTAATGCCTAGGTTTTCTTCTCGGGTTTTTATGGTTTTACGTCTAACGTTTAGGTCTTTAATCCATCTTGAATTAATTTTTGTATAAGGTGTAAGGAAGGCATCATCTTTGAGATGAATGTGAATGATCGTGGAATATTCCTTCTGTGACAGACTTTATTTTTGAGACAGGATCTCACTCTGTCATCCATGCTGCTGTGCAGTGGTGCAATCACAGCTCAGTGCAGCCTTGAACTCCTGGGCTCAAGGAACACTCCTAGCCTCCCCAGCAGCTGGGACTACAGGTACAGGCGCTGCCATGCCCGGTTATTCTGGCTTCAAGCAATTCTCCCACCTCAGCCTCCCAAAGTGCTGGACTTACAGGCAGGAGCCACTGCGCCCCCGGCCCTTGTGACAGACTTTTAATGAAACCATTATATTTACTTCTTTGACAGCCTGTTACTATGTCAATTCCTCCAGCCACTACAAAACCTGTCCTCATGGTTTAGAGCATTGGCAGTCACTCCCTAAAATTGGAGTGGAGTGAGGAAGGCAGTTCTGTAGGAGGGGCTTATGGACTCCTTAAGGGCATAGGCTGTTGGAGTCCCTGCTGAGAGATCTCTGCCCTACCTTGTGGAACTGGAGTGAAACAACGGGGGCGTTGCTTCCAGCCATCTGGGAGAGAGGATCCAGAGCTTCCCCTCAGAGAGCTGGGATGTTGTCAGCAGGCATCAGACAGAGCAAAAAGCCATTTTTCTTTATTCTATTCCTGATACAAAGCAACTGAGATATGCGTTTCTCTTTGGAATTGAGGAAGGGAGAATAATGGAGCTTTTGCGGTGATGGACAGGGAAAAAGTGGGGGAGCAGTTAATTATCCATCTTGACAGGTGTAGACACAGGCTGGGAAGCTGGGTGTGTCTTAATCCCTGCTCCTGAACCACCGTGGGGAGCAGGAAGCCTACAGTTTCCTTATATCAGCAAATGCATCATGTTGAAACAATTTTACTGCTTGCTTTCTGAATTTAAATATAGATTTTCCCTGAGAAGGGCTCAAGCATGCAGATGGTAAGAAAAACAACAGTCTAGAAAGATATCTTCAAGTTCCTTCTCCTGGTTGGTGGAAATAGAGCAATTCTTTTCCAAAATATAATTTTTAGAGTTTTAAAGTAAAAAAAAAAAAAAAAAAAAGGATAGAGTCAATTTGGAATTTCTTAGCTGACCATTCTATTAGAGCATAGGTTTTTCAGAAAATAGAGTTTATGGGCAAAAAAAAAAAAAAAAAAAAAAAAGGAAAGAAAACTGTTTTAAGTATGATATCTTCAGTGTAATATATAGTTAACATATACTATTTTGTTGTAATTAGAATATGCAATTATTATATATTAAACATATCTACATCTGTAGTAAAATGTGTTGTCCTACATTTCAGAAAACTATAAGGCTTTTGGGAAAGAAAATTTAGGAGTATACATTAAAAGCCATGTCAATGCCATTCCCTTTAACATAGTAGTTCCATTTCTAAGGGAAAGAAGTTAAAAAATTGAATAAACTCACATGCATGAAAATGTTTCAATTATAATCATGAAAAAGGAAATAATATAAGTAACCAGGATAGAGGATTGATTAGGGTAGTTGCTCTCAATTTTGCCCCCCAGTGGACATTTGGCAAAGGACAGCGCCCCTACAACAGAGTTATCCAGCCCAAAATGTGAGTAGCTCCAAGGTTCATAAACTGTACATTAGTGTAATTAGAGTGTACTGACTCAACAGAAGAATGTGCAGTCTTTAAAGCTCATATTATAAAGGCTAAGCTTCAACATGAAAAATTATTTTGATATAATAAAAGAGAAAATAACAGGATGCTATTTCATATATACATTATTATGGTCAAAGGTAGTTTTACCATGATGCTGGTGAAACTTTAGTTGCAGGATCTCTCACTTACGGAAGCCCTTCAAAGGCCCTTACGGAGGCTGTAACTGTGTTTCATATGGTTATAGGCTTTTGTATAAATTTTTAAACTAAGATTATTTTAATTTTATTTTAATATAATATTTTTCTTTTTCCCTCCTGAAGTTATACAAGTTTCAGGCACCACTAAACTTGATTTCCCTTTGACTATCATTTTAAGGAAATGAAACTTAATGCACATGATGGAGGAAAAAGAATGTGATGAGAAATTACCAAATAGCTAACTGAAGTCATGTAAGGATGAGGGGATAATGGAGAAACATTTTTCTCTTCTCTAGTTTCCAGGTGTTTTCCAGAGCTATTATATTAGTTTATAATGAAAGAAATGATTCTTAAGAGAAAGAAAGTTCATGGATATACAAGAAGAAAAAAAAATTTGGAAAAAAACCACCATGTTAGGCGCCGGATGAGTTTGTTGTGGTTTGAGTTTTGATCTTCTCATGCTGATCTTTCCGGCTTTGTAGTTCTCTCTCCTCTCGTACTTCTCCATCATTCATGCTTGTGTCCAACCACAGTATTTTACTAAGAGAGCATGTGTTCTAGTGCCCTATTGCTGCAGAGCAAACCACCCAAAAAACCTACATAGGCTCTGCTGGGTGGTTCTCACTGGGGGCCTCTCAAACAGTTGCAGCAAGATGGTGGTTGAAGCTGAAGTCATCTGAAGGCTCACTGGGCTAGACATCCCAGGTGATCATCACTCACCGGCCCCATATCTCCGTGCTCCTATCTGTAGCATCTCCTGACAGCAGAGTAGCCAGGTCTTCCTACATGGCCACTTGGTACTACAAAAGGCAAGAAGAAAGTGCCAGTCCTCTTAACAACTAGATCGAGAACTGAGAGAGAATCCATTTTACCATATTCAGTGGTTCAACACAATCCCAAGCCAGCACAGATTAAAGGGGATGCAAGGGTAGACTCCTTTGCTGCATGGGGGAATATCATACAGTGCGGCAAAGGAAGGGCTTGATGGAAGCCTTTGAACACAAGCTACCACAGCAAAGAACATTTGATTTCCAAGATTCCCATAAGGTAGGGAGGGATATGCAATATAGAGCAAGCATCTTCCCTAGAAATATGCATGTGATAAAAATATCTACCTACAGAGATATTGTTAGCAGTGGAAGTTATTCAAGTTAGTAATGGCAAATTCATACGGGTCTGCAGCAACCTCAATTCTTGCTTCCTCAGAAGAAAGAATTTGACTGAGGGGCATAAGGCAGAAGACGAGATAGAGGCAAGTTTTAGAGTAGGAGTGAAAGTTTATTAAAAAGCTTTAGAGCAGAAATGAAAAGAAAGTAAAGTACACTTGGAAGAGGGTCATGTGGACATCTTGGAGGTCAAGTGCACTGTTTGATCCCGGACTTACAGTTTTTACATGCTGTCCTACTTCCTGCATCTTTTGTCCCTTTTCCGGTGGAATGCCCTCCGAAGGTCATATACCAGTTAAACTTTGCCATTTTGCCTCTTAATGTACATGTGTGAGCTCACTCGCCCAACTCCTGAGATCTCATGAGGAAGCTGCGCATCACCAGTTTCAGGTATTTCCTATCTATATAGGGAGACTGCCTTTCCCTGGTGCTGGCTGTGACCAATTATTATTTTAGAGAGACAGTTAACAGCCACCTGCCCAGGGTCACCTGACTTTCTTGGTGGGGTGTGCGGGGAGCCCTTTCCTGCCCCGCTCATGCCTGACTAGCTACCTACTGTAACACCATGTGTAACACCATGAACACAAAATGAATATTTCTGACAATCAGCTATAGAGTGTAAAAGCTTTTAAGTAGCACTTTGCCAGTTAGAATGCTCTAAAATGGAGCCTCCTAAAATTCTCCAATATAATAATTTTCTACGGAAATCTATCAGAATAGAGCAGTGACACCCAGAGGAAATTTGGAAATGTTTAGTAGTATAGTGTTTTATGCATTTTAAAATAAACAATAACTAATATTTTAATTGGAATTTTTTGAGAAAAGATACAAGCTACTTTCAACTGAAGAAAAGTGTCCCGAGCTAAAAAGACTACCTTTGCATCATCATAGACTGCTTGATAGAACAACTAAGGAAGTAAATGAAACGGAACTCACTAGAGGCCACCTGAATCATCAACAAATTAGTCAATCAGAAATGTTGACTAGAGTCCCTCTTTGATGAATAACAAAATTCTTATTCTGTTTCCAAATGTAAGAATAAATGACCAGGGCTGTTATTTGCTCTAGGGGATTAATATTCTGTACATTCAGTTAATCTTGCTTGTGATTAATCAGCAAATAGTCAAGACAATTGAAATATTCACATATCTTATGAAATAAAGAGATATTTGCAAATATCAACAAAAAAGGACATTATGTAAAAAATTCACTTATTAGAAGCATGTCAGTAGGCCACAAATTAACTAACCCTAAGCATTATTTTGCTTTCTTTGTAGCACATTCCCCTTATATGGTACTCTTTTCTGGGAAACATGGTCTTGCTCTGTTGCCCAGGCTGGAGTGCAGTGTTGCAACCATGGCTCACTGCAGGCTCAAGCTCCTGGGCTCAAATGATCCTCCCACCTCAAAAGCTTTTCTAGTAGCTAGGACCACAGGTTATGCCACACCTGGCTAATTTTTAAAAAATGTTTTGTAGAAATGGAGTCTCCCTATGTTGCCCACCCTTGTCTTGAGCTCCTGGGCTTAAGTGATCCTCCTGCCTTGGGCTACTAAAGTGTTGGGATTACAGGTATGAGCCACTGTGCCCAGCTGATAAGGTACTCTTTTATGTCAGACATATTAAACAACCCTATTTATTGATATCAAAGTACAATGCACCAATTCTGTGACCAGAAAATGAGACAATAAATAAAAACTATCTTAAACTTTCTATTCCCCATTTTATTTTTACAGCTAACTTTTTTTTTTTTTTTTGAGATGGAGTCCCACTGTGTCACCCAGGCTGGAGTGCAATGGTGCCATCTCTGCTCACTGCAACCTCTGCCTCCCGGGTTCAAGTGGTTCTCCTGCCTCAGCCTTCTGAGTAGCTGGGATTACAGGCGCCTGCCACCACGCCAGCTAATTTTTGTATTTTCAGTAGAGACAGGGTTTCACTGTCTCAGGCTGGTCCTGAACTCCTGACCTCAGGATCCACCCGCCTCAGACTCTCAAAGTGCTGGGGTTACAGGCATGAGCCACTGTGCCTGGCCTACAGCTAACTCCTTAACTACCCCTCTCCTTAAAAAAGTAATCAAATATTTTCATCGTGCCCTTAATTCTCATTTTCAGTTTGTCATAGCTGTAGAATAAATGGAACTTAGGATTAATACAGAACAATTTCTTCAGTTACTTACTCTATATGACAAATGGAACCAGTTATATGAATGCTAAGACCTAGTATCTTGAAGACTCTCAAGTAAAAAAATGCTCTGGGGAAAATAATTTAAAACCATTTGTCTCTGGTTTTGACACACTTCAAACAAACTTGTACAATATATTTTCCCAACCTGAACATATTCATTCATTCAAGGACAGATCAGTCACCCAATGGACATATATTTAGCAATGATTCTATGTGTAATCATGATTCTGGGAACATAGAATTAAAGATGATTAACAAGTTAAAACGTCTCCCTTTGAGGTCGGGAAATATTCACCTGACTTTACTGTTATACTGTTTTATCCCCCAGTGCCTAATATTATGCTTGGAACAGGGTAGATACTTGCCTCTTTTCTTTATTTTCTTTCTTTCTTTCTTTCTTTCTTTCTTTCTTTCTTTCTTTCTTTCTTTCTTTCTTTCTTTCTTTCTTTTTCTTTTTCCTTCCTTCCTTCCTTTCTTTTCCTTTCCCTTCCTTTCTTCTTTCTCTTTTTTCTGTCCTCTTTCCTTCCTTCTTTCCTTCCTTCCTTCCTTCCTTTCTCTCTTCCATTTGTTGTTCTTTGTTTTTTTGTTATTTAAATAAGTAACATTAATAAAACACACTGGTGGAAATAAACAGAAGTGAGAACATAAACAGCTTAGGTGACTGGGATTTAAGCATATGGCTTTCTATGTCTTAGCAACCCTCATGTGGTTGGAGGTTGTCAGTCTTATTCCCCATTTGACCTCCAGCATTAGCCCAGAGGCTGGACAAAAGAAGTAATCAATTAATAATTGATATCAAAATAAATGATTCAGTGTCTTTTCAACATAGGACAACACAGTCAGTGAGGCTAACAAGAATGATATCAATTTTTCAAGATGTTAAATGCTACACATTATACTATACTAAAGAAAAAAGAAAGTTTGCATCACTTTTTTTTCATTTATCTGGAAAATTTATTTATATTGAAGTTCTCATTTAGTTTTGGTGCCTGATGAATGAGCTATTACTTGATATTCTCTTGCTTTCTCAATAACCATCTCATCTAGAAAGCAGGGTGGGACTTCTCTTTTTTTTACTTTTCTGACGTGGTGAAGCGTCTATCAGAACATCTTTCCTCTCATTGGCAGCTCACTACGCAGCTTGCAAAGGTTCACAGGTGGCTGAAACCCAACCCAGTTGTAAATCACAACATGGGTACATCTTGCATATTTTAGAAGACAGAAAAGAAAATACCTTGTCAGCCAGCAATCAGAAGCACATTATATCTCAGAAAGTCTGCCCCTTGTGCCTGTCAGCCTGAATGGGACCTTTCACACAAACCTTCCTGCCAATTCACTTAGAGCAGCCAGACAACTCCCTCCCTCCCATCTTTCAAATTACTCCACATGTCTAAGTTTTCCTTTAAAATGTTTCCAAACCACTGGAGCACACCTCTCATCACAGACCCCCATTGATGAGAGACAGGATTAAGGTTATGTCAGATATAACTGATGATTAGAGTTATTTCCACCTTCTCCACAGTTGTTGACAGACAGCAAATAAAGGCAACATTGTTAGACCTACAATTGATCTATTGAAGTTAGGACTTATTTCTTGACTCCTGAAAATACAACCTTCTACCAGGGCTATTCTAAGCCAGTGATTTAGAGCCCTGATGCCCTGTATTTATTTATTTTTTTTACTAATTTTTCCACTGCTATGCAATGAGGCATATCATTATTATTATTGTAACCGCCTGGCTCTCAGTGGCATGTGCACAAACACCCAGAAAGTAAAGGCATACAGAAGCCTCCGTTAACGTTGAGAAGGGACAGACACCATAATTGTTTTCCACTGTTCCTTCCATTTTAAACAGTGGGGATCTTACCTATGTTAAGCATTTCTAGGTGAAGCATAGACTGCTTAAGAGCTGTATGAGTAGAAATTAGGAATTTAGGCTTCAGATCCAACCCCACCTGGGTTGGTATTTGGGTTTCAACATATAGTAGCTTTGTAACTGCTGGTGTGCCACTAATGCTCTCCAAATATTAAGGAAGGCTTTGAATGCTATTCCAAGATGTTTAGGCTTTCTTCCACAGGCAGAAGAGAGCCTTTGAAAGCCTTGGAGCAGATGAGTAACATAGTAGAAAAAAATACTTCGAGATAACTTGCAAAGAGGAGTTGTCAATCTCCAGGATTTGCTCAGCTCCATTCTCCTTCTGGGCACATGGAAGTTCTCTGTGTCTGGCACTGCATTGGTTCTCCAAATCTCACAAACAGTGCACTGAATGACTGTGATGATTGAATAATTGACCAAGAAACCCAGATAATGAAAGGAAGAAAGAGAAAGAAAGAAAGAAAGAAAGAAAGAAAGAAAGAAAGAAAGAAAGGAAGGAAGATAGTAATGAAATGTGGGCATGGTTGACTAATGTATGAGAGTTCATCAGATGTATAACTTACTTTTCTTTTGAATAATTTGTATTTATTTATTGAGCATTACCTGGATAAAATACATAACTAGTTCCATGCTTCACTTAATGGTTTAATTATCAAGAAGTTTTGAATCAATACTGACCTGCAAGCAATGTCTCAAATCTGGAAGCTACCAAGAATTCTGAGATCCAAGTTTTCTTTCAAACTTCCCTCCCTTTTGCATTTTGAAGTGGTAGTACAATTTGGATCAGATAAAGAGGAACAAGGTGGTTTCAGCTAGCTGCAGAACACAGATATGACTTCATTACCCAGCTGTTAGTAATTTTCCTCCCAGTCGGAGGCAGAATTTTGAATAGACTGAAAACATGTTTGTGCAGGGTTCTAAGATGCTACATGAATTCAGATGTTCATTCATTTAATTCATATAATAGCCTCAGATGATATCTTTCTTTCTCACCACAAGGCTATGCTTTGTCTAAATGGCCAGGTAAACATCCCAGAAGTGAGTGGTCCCTGAAGTGGTCCGTGAACCGATTTCCACGACCGGTTCTTTCCTACGTGTGAACCGTGCTCTGCTGCAATCTACTAGTGCCTCGGGCATTCCTGCGGCCTTTGTCTAAGCAGAAAGGGTAGAACTTCCTGAACACTAATAAAGGAAACATAAAAGCAGAGGTCAGCTGGAAGATTGGCAATAGGCTAATGAAACTGACAGTCATTTTTGACCATTTTAAACAATAAGTTTGTTGCCCCTACATCCTCCACATTAGCTGCCCAGTCTTGTCAAGTGACACACGGGATATTATGTTGAATTTTTAAGGTGCTTCTTGGCTGTGAATATGGCCTGGGATCTTTCTTTCCTTTTAATAATACTTAGCACATAATTGTTCTGAAATCACATGTTGGAAAAGCTCTTGACTAGAAATGTTGAGAGCGGGGGAGAAAAAGAACAGCACTTAAGAAAAGAATGGAAAAGTTTCAGTGACATTTGCAAAATTGCTTTTCCTTCTGATTTGGTTGGGAAAATTATTTTTCAGACTCTAGGGAATTATTGTTTCTCACACACTTCATATAAGAATATATTTCAAGCCAGAAAGGACCTTAGAGGTGGTGCTCAGTGTCCTTCGTTCAGATCAGGGAAGGAAACTGAAGCCGAGGGACGTTAATTGAATTGCCTCTGTTGTGGCTGCAAAGTCAGCCAGTGAAAACAAAAATTCTCTAGGAAGCCAGCTTTGTTTCCTTATATTTAAAAGTCATTCACTCATGTATTCATTTGGCCACAGACTATGTATTGCACAGCTATTAATATTATGTGGCAGGCCATATCAAGGCATGGAGAATACAGTGGTAAACAGAACAGATCAAACCTCTGCCCTTATGTTGGTGATAAATGCTCTAGCACCTTGGTAATCAAAATACCTCCGTATTAGCAGTTTATCGGAAATGCAGAATCTCAGGCCCCACCCCAGATCTATTGGATCAGAATATCCTTTAAACAACATCCTCCTGGAGTTTCATATGCATTTTCAAGTTGAGAAGAAATAGATAAAAAAATAAGTAAAATAAGGAAAATAGGAAGAGTTTGGGGAGCTTAATGGGAGATTATGTAAGAGAGATATGTGGAGGTCAAATGCCCAGGGCTCTGTGGGTTATTTGAAGGACGTGGGCTTTTGCTCTGAGTGGGGTGGCAAAACTGGAGAGGATTTTGAGACAAGGCATGGTGTAATGTGACTAAGTATAAATTCTATGTAGCACAGCCTTAAATGTTAGAGAGGTAGAAAACAGATCAGTGGCGGCCTGGCAACAGGGGATAGGCCACAAAAGGGCACAAGAAACTTTTAAGGGTAATAGAAATATTCTGTACCTTGATGGTAATGGAATTACACTCATGTATATATTTGTCAAAACTCATCTATTGGTGCACTTAGAATGAATGCATTTCGTTATTTGTAAACTACTTCCAAAGAGTTCCAAAAAAAAAAAAAAACCTGTTGGACACATCTGATACGGTTTGGCTGTGCCGTCACCCAAATCATCTTGAATTGTAGCTCCCGTAATCCCTGTGTGTCATGGGAGGGACCTTGGGGGTGGTGATTAGATTATGGGGGCAGTTCCCCCATGCTGTTCTCGTGATAGTGAGTGACTTCTCACAAGATCTGATGGTTTTAATAAGGGGGCTCATTCTCATTCTCGCTCCTGCTGCACTGTGAAGAGGGACCTTCCACCATGATTGTAAGTTTCCTGAGGCCTCCCCAGCCATACAGAAATGTGAGTCAATTAAACCTCTTTCCTTTATAAATTACTCAGTCTTGGGTATTCTTCATAGCAGTGTGAGAATGGACTAATATACAACATCATAACCAGGATATAACTTAAATTGTGTAAAAGAAATAAGCAGGATCACCTCCTTATGTGGGTACTATGCTCACAACCTGGGTGACAGGTTCAATCACACCCCAAACCTCAGCATCACGCAGTATACCTCTGTAACAAACCTGCAGATGTACCTCGGGTTCTAAAGTAAAAGTTGAAAATTTAAAAAAAAGGCAGATGAGAGAACAGCTGTTGCAAAGAGTATCAGTTGAAACCAAATTTCTCTCTAAGCCAGAAGAATAGTGGGTATGTGAGCATGTGCAAGATTTTGCACTGCAAAAGATCATTTCAGGAGTCCAGAACACTTGAGAATATGCAGAATAACAGTGGAGAATTCAAAGTGATACCGAAATGCAAAAGCACACTAGGTCAGGATTTATGAGATAGATTCTATTTTTGCCTCACTTCTACTACTGCCTAACTTTGTGACCTTGGACAAGTCATGTATTGTTCTTGGGAATACAATTTTCTTCTCTTTCAAGTGGCAATCAGAGCACCTGTTTCCACATTGCTATGTGGGGGTCAAGTGCAATGTGAATGCTGGAAAAGTGCTTTGAAAATGAGAAGGCACTGCGTATGTGTAAGGACTGCTAAAATGGCCTTTTCCAAGATGCATTCACATCAGTGACGCCAAGAAGTTGGAAAGGACACCAATTATTAGATGTTTCTGACACTGCCTTAACTTCAGGGCATGTGCAAGTTTTCCTGATGTGCATGTGAAACTGTGTCTATTACATATGCTGAAGTTTTCCCCCAAATGGGACCAGCACCCACATGTCTGATATATTCCTTAGGTAGAGCCATTCTTCTCAATAAAACACAAAATAGTGAAATACAGAAATGTCTGATTTGTAAAGAGAGGGTATCTGTAACAAAATTGAAAGTCACAGATTTGATATCTACTTTTACATTCTTGTATCCAGTAACATTTTTTTGAGCATCTGCTACTGAGTGAAGCATGGAAGGATACACAAAGATGAATAAAACACAGTCTTTATTGTCAAGGAGATGACAGTCTAGAAGAATGGATAAGATGTGTCTAAAAGTAACTTGAATGCAAAGCCATATGTGGAAACTATAAGACAAAAATTAACGCAATGGAGTTAGATAGGGGGAAAAATAAACACTTGTCTCTCGGAAACCTTCCTGAGAAAAGTGGTGTTTGAAGTGAGCATTAAGAATAGATTAAGTCATGTCATAGAATCAGGAAAATACAAGGCATTTCTGGAATGATGTGGTGGCCTGTTTGGCTGGGAGACAGCTTATGTTTGGGGCACTAGTGTGATATGGAAGAGGAGGCTAAAGAAGGTTAATTGAAGACAGGACCATGGAAGGTTTTCCATGCTAGCCTTTCTAGGCTGGAAATGGAAAACCACTGGAGGTTTCTGAGCAGAAGCGTCGTATGACTCAAAGTGTGTCAGCGGAAGAGGACTTTGGCAGCTCTGTTGAGTATGCACTAATGTTGGGACAGACCAGTGGTAGGAAGGCCAATTAAAAACTAAATGCAATGATTTAGGGGAGAGAAAATGAGGATTTCAACTAGTGTAGTAGATTATAGGTTTGGACAGATATGAATGAATATAAATAACATTGTATCAAAAAATTGGCTGGACCTTAAAACCATCTGGATGTGGGAGGTGAGAAAGAAGAAAGTACCAAGGATGACTCTCAAATTCCCAGCCAAAGTAAAAAGCCCTGAAAGAGTGCATGGGTGAAAGATAGTGGATGTATTTTTAAGACATGCTGACTTAGTGGTGCTAGTGGAACAGCTAACATTATTATTTCTTCTATACGGCACACATTTACCATATGTTATTCTATTTAATAATCAAAACAGGCTTGTGAGAAGAGTAAGATCATACCAGTTTTACATAGAGGGATTAAGGCTAAAGAGAAGTAACTTGCTTAAGGTGGCAGAATCACCATTGGAGAAGAAACATAAATATTGTGTTCTTTGTATGCCATCATTGCAAAAATCTAGCAGATTGTTGAACATAAGAAACTGAAATTCTTGGCTGGGCGCGGTGGCTCATGCCTGTAATCCCAGCACTTTGGGAGGCCGAGGCGGACGGATCACGAGGTCAGGAGTTTGAGACCAGCCTGGCCAATATGGTGAAACCCCGTCTCTAATAAAAATACAAAAATTAGCTGGGCATGGTGGCGTATCCTGTAGTCCCAGTTATTTGGGAAGCTGAGGCAGGAGAATTGCTTGAACCCAGGAGGCGGAGGTTGCAGTGAGCTGAGATCGCGCCACTGACTCCAGCCTGGATGACAAGAACAAGACTCTATCTCAAAAAAAAAAAAAAAAAAAAAAAAAGAAAGAAACTGAAATTTGTGATTTCCTGGTCCAGTGATCATTTCTAATTGATACCAATGAATCCCTCTGATGAATATTTCACTGGTATTTTTCTAATATATGATACATTCATAAGTTGGTTCCTAAGCTGTATTTTAAGAGAACATCATGATTTAGATTTTTCTTATACTACCAAGAATGCCACTCTGATTCTTTATGGAAACTGAGACCATACACTTAAGCTCTAGGGGGGAGGTAATGTAATGCAACCTGTGTTTCTAAAGCACAATCACACTATAAACAGACCTTGCTGCAAAAATAAGTATATTCAGCACAGAGCTGATAAACCTCAGATCTGTGGCTGAAATGATCAGTTGATGATATTATAGTAAACACCATTACCAATGTTGTGTTCTGGATGTTTTTCTTCAAGCTGTGTGTCTGTAGGAAATGACTAGTATCATAAACCCTCTTGACAAAAAAAAAAAAATCACATTTCTGTTTTCCAAAAAGAGTTTTTTTTAATATCATAATAAATGAGTTCTTTTGAATTCATCTGTGCTTTTCTAAATATTATCTTCTGGCAATGACTTTGCCTTATCTCTGCTCTGCTGTTTCTGGAGAGCATAATTTTGCTACATGTATCTGAAGATTTATAATTGCGCCTCTTAATTGGAAATCAAGGCTTGGCATTAGTTAACAGTTACTGGTGAAATGGCCCACTGATAAAAACAAATGCTTACATTTCTAGAATAATAACAGGAATTCTTCTCTGAAGAACCCAGAGTGGCAGACTATCACTTCACAAAACTTTCTCATTTCCCCAAACTTGTAATAAAGCCAGCTCATTGTTTCTTCAGGCTACTAAGCATCAAGCAATTTGTTTTCTGTGTTCAGTCTGTCATCTTACGGCTCGCTCTAATGTTCACTGAAGCCCTACGGCAGACTTTGGGACTACTGTTTTTTTAAATAAACAATTATGGCATTTTCAGATATGGATATTATCAAAGGAATGATCTAATTGTCCACCACAGATTTGGATCAGATAGTTATTCCTCATAATACCTCAAGCTGAGACTCAGGAAACTAGTCCTGCGTGGGGACATATGTCAAATGCATTACAAAAGCATCACCTCCTTAGTCTAAATAACGTCACCACCACCCACCCAGTTATGCAAGCAAGGAACTTAGACAGTATCCTTTTTACCTCCCTCTTCCTCATTGCCCATATCTAACCCGTTCTATGTTCTGAAATAGTACTTCTGGATTCATTCTGTCCTGTTGTATTTTTGGATCCATCCATTTTTCTCTTTCTCAACTACCCCACTTGTCAGTCCACCTTGACATTCCACAGTGGCCTCCTCACTGTTCTCTCCATCCTTCATTCATGCTCCTCTCCAGTGTTTTCTCCACCTACATTGAGAGCAATGTTTCCAGATTAACTAGTATATCAAGTGAGTCCTAGGTTTAAAAACCTGCAATCACTTTCATTGCTTTTAGTATAAATATCAAAATCCTTATGCAGGACCTTGAAGGCTCTACATGCTCTAGCCCCACTCACTTCTACAGACCATTTGTTCTAAGTCTCCTCTTCTCTGGGAGGAAGAGATCCCCTCTACTGAGAATGCTTCTCTTCTCCCATCTCTTCCCTTAGTTATACTTTTCCTCCACCTTCATATCTCAAGTGCTAGTTCCTCAGAGAAGCCTTCCTCACCACCCACACACTCCTGGTCCAGGGACCTCCCTTCCTACCTTCCTCCCTCCCTTCCTCCCTTTCTTCCTCCCTTCCCTTCTTCCTTCCTTTTCTTTTTTTCCATTCTCTCCTTCTTTCTTTCTCTCTTTCTCTTTTTTTCCTTTCTCACCATTAGCTTTCTTTCTTCCCATTTTCTTTCCTTCCTTCCTTCCTTCCTTCCCTCCCTCCCCTCTTCCTCTTTTTCACCCTTCCTTCCTTCTTTCATTTTTTCTTTCTTTCTTTGTTTTTCTTTCGTCTTCCTTCCTTCCATCATTTTTTCTTTCTCTTTGTTTCTTTCTTTCTTTTGTCTCTCTCCTTCTTTCCTTCCTTCCTCCCTTCCCTTCCCTTCCCCTCCCTCCCCTTCTTTCTTTCCTTCCTTTTCTTCTTTCATCCTGTTTTCATTAATTTGTTCTTTCTTTCCATCATCTATCTTTCTATCCTTCCTTCCTTTCTTACTTCCTCCCTCCCTCCCTCTCTCTCTTTCTTTTCTTCTTTCTTTTTCTTCTATTATCTACTATCTATGTTTTTGTCTATTATCTATCCATCTATTCATCTATCTGTCTATCTCTATATGTATATATTCAATAGAACCAAATCTCTGTATTTCAGATCACTTATTTCTACTTATAATCTTATATTTATTCATATCTACAGTCTTAACTCTAGGCTGTAAGCTCCGTGAGAACAGTGGTTGTATTTGGTATTACTTAATTTTATGTTCCATGTTCTCAAGCCTAACTTTGTGTCTGACACAGGTGAGCTTTCAATAAATATTAGTAGAATAAGTTAAAGTGCTTTACTGAGCTCTGAATGTTGATCAAGAAGTAACCACTGCGAAATATTGGATGCCAAGAAAATAAGCTATTTAACATTTCCCAGCAAATGATTTTCAGTGAAGCAGTGAGGATGGGAAAGACACAATCCCTGAAGACTGAAAGAAATTTAAAAAGAAAATGGGAAGGCAAATGAAAAGCACATAAAACAAATACCTAATACATGCAGGGCTTAAAACCTAGATGATGGGTTGATAGGTGCAGCAAACCACCATGGCACATGTATACCTATGTAACAAGCCTGCATGTTCTGCACATGTATCCTAGAACTTAAAGTAAAATTTTAAAGAAGAATAACCAGAAAATAAATAAATAAATATATATTTTTTTAAAACCTGCTTTGTCAGGTACTGTTACAGTTGATATAGATGAAGTGAAATCTAAGAAGAATGTCTAGGCCCAAGATGCCTAGTGCTTGCTTTTAACTATTTTCATTTTTTAGCCAATTACTAATTAACAGAGGACTAGTTCAGGACTCATTGGAATGTCCAGGTGGCTAAGGGACTGCACAGTGTTTGCTTTTGATTACAAAAACAAGCCCTAGCTCATGCACTTCCTGATAAGTTTGGTTCTGTGTCCCCACCCAAATCTCACCTTGAATTGTAATGATCCCCATGTGTTGAGGGCAGGACCAGGTGGAGATAAATGAATCATGGGGGCAGTTTCCCTCATGTTGTTCTCGTGATAGCGAACGAATTCTCATGAGGTCTATGTTTTTGTTTTTGTTTTTTGAGACAGAGTCTCCCCTGTCACCCAGGCTGGAGTGCAGTGGTGCAATCTCGGCTCACTGCAACTTCTGCTTCCTGGGCTCAAGTGTAGCTGGGACTACAGGTGTGAATCACCAATGCCTGGCTAACTTTTGTATTTTTGTAGAGACAAGGTTTTGCCATGTTGCCCAGGCTGGTGTCAAACTCCTGAGCTCAAAGCAATCTGCCTGCATGGACCTCCCAAAGTGCTGAGATTACAGGCATGAGCCACCACACCCGCGGAGATCTGATGGTTTTATAAGGTGCATCCCCCTACCTTTGGCACTCATTCTTTCTCCTGCTGCCCTGTGAAGAGGTGACTTCTGCCATGATTGTAAGTTTCCTGAGGCCTTTGGCTGGATTTTGGACTTGCATGGGGCCTGTAGCCCCTTCATTTTGGCCAATTTCTCCCACTTGGAACAGGTATATTTACCCCATGCCTGTACCCCTATTGTATGTAGGAAGTAAGTAACTTGCTTTTGACTTTACAGGCTCATACGTGGAAGGGACTTGCCTTATTTCAGATGAGAGTTTGGACTTGGACTTTTGGGTTAATGCTGGAATGAGTTAAGACTTTGGGGGACTGTTGGAAGGGTATGATTGTGTTTTGAAATGTGAGGACATGAGATTTTGGAGGGGCCAGGGATAGAGTAATATGGTTTAGCTCTGTGTTCCCCCCACCCAAATCTCACCATGAATTGTAATAATCCCCATGTGTCAAGGACAGGACCAGGTGGATATAATTGAATCATAGGGGTGGCTTCCCCCGTGTTGTTCTCACGGTAGTGAGTGAGTTCTCATGAGATCTGATGGTCATATAAAGGGCTTCCCCCTTCCCTCGGCTCTCATTCTCTCTTCTGTCACCCTGTGAAGAGGTGCCTTCCACCATGATTGTAAGTTTCCTGAGGCCTCCCCAGCCATGCAGAACTGTCAGTCAATTAAGCCTCTTTTCTTTATAAATTGCCCGATCTCAGGTATTTCTTCATAGCAGCATAAGAATGGACTTACATACTTCCCCAAGACCTCTTCATTGCTGGGCCATCACAGTACCCTGAATATGTTCTTAAAATCAAACTTTAAACCAGTTAGTTGCTTTTAAGCTTTTTCTATGGTGTCTTGTGCACCTTACATCAAATTCACCATGTATAATGAATTAAAAAGTATAACTCCTAGCAACAACTCCTAAAGAGTTTGGAGACTTCTTCTGGTGGCATCTCTCTTGCTCTTGTACCCTCTCTCTCTTTTTCTCTATTCCTCTCCCCAAGTGTCTGAATAATAAAATTTCTATCAGGAGTGGATTAAAAGATACATCTATCAGTTCACCAATTTAGATTCTATAACAGGAATGACAGGCATTAAGACATTGTATCCAATAATGTCTGGGCTAACTTTTTTGTTGTCGTTCTCACATCCTTTCCACTGATTAACACAAATAATTGAATTAAGTATAATTTCATAAGACATGAATGACTGCATTTCATCATAAATCACTCATAAATTCTTTTGCTAAATTGTTGGTTTTCAATTTAGGATAACTGAAGGATAGGAATTTTAC